>NC_000004.12:87406229-87557744 GCF_000001405.40 Homo sapiens
TGCAAATAGGTCTTTTGTCAGACACTTGATTAACCCAATATACAGCATTTCCTGTTGGATTAGTTCTACCAAAGCCTCCTGTTCTCTTCATTGTGCTGCTTCCTAGTTTTATGTAAGGTAACAGCAACAACTGAGCAATTCTTTCTCCTGGGGAAGCAGACCATAGAGTCGAGGAACTAATAACTAATTGAATTTCTCTGGTATAATCAGAATCAATTATTCCCATGTGCACAGTGACACCTTTCAAATTTAGACTAGACTTTCCAAGTAATAGACCAACTGTTCCTGCGGGTAAGGGTCCCCTAACTCCTGTAGGGACCTTTTTTGGTGGCTCCCCAGGAAGTAAGGAGATGGGAATTGTGCTTCAGAGGTCTACAACAGCACCGCCTGCTGTGGTGGGGGGACAATTGTACATTTGTAAGGGCAGTGGCTGTGCCGGATATGCCTCGGTTTGTTGAGGGACTCGAGGCAGGTCCCTCTTCCTGTTTCTCAAGAGAGGTTGTCAATCTTTGCTAATTTTAGAATGACACTGACTTGCCTAGTGATGGCTTTTTTCACAACGGGGGCATACACAAGTACTTTTCTGTTGGTAGCTCTTGCCTTTTGATTTCCTTTTCTACATTCCTTTTTTATGTGTCTAAATTGCCCACAATTAGAGCAAGAGCCTGAGAAATGGGGCATATTCTTTCTGACTCGTAATCCAGCCATAGCCTGAGCTAAAAGAGTAGCCTTATGTAAGTTACCTCCAATGCCATCGCAAGCCTTAATATATTCAGCTAAATGAGGCTTCCCTCTCAGGGGTCTAACAGCAGTTTAACACTCTGCATTAGCATTGTCGTATGCAAGAAGCTGTATTACAACATCTTGAACTGTTTTATCAGTTATGGCTTTATACACAGCCTCTTGGAGCCAAGCAATAAAATTAATAGATGATTCTTTAGGTCCTTGTTGGACAGAACTGAAAGAAGGATATTTTTCTCCTGTAACATTTATCCTTTCCCATGCCTGTAAGCACACAGAGCGCAGCTGAACAATGGCAACATCCTCCATTACTGCTTGATTTTCTAATCAACCCCAATCAGGTCCAACTCCCATTAACTGTTCAAAGGAAACAGGCACAGGTGGTCGTGCTTGTGTATTTTCCCTTGTCTGAGTTTGAGCTTCATCAGCCCACCAGGTTTTAAACTGCAAGTACTGAGATGAAGTGAGAACAGATTTTGTTAAAGTTTTCCAATCATACGGTATTAACATATTATTGAGAGAAACATTTTTTAATAAAGTTTGCACAAAAGGAGAGTTTCGCCCATATTGACTAATGGCTTGCTTGAATTCCTTTATCAGCTTAAAAGGAAAGGTGGTCCAATTAGCTATATTCTGTCCTTCCTGCTGGATTATAGTTATGGGAAATTGCCATGCTTCAAGGTCTGCCTCCACTCTAGCCTTTTGAATAGAATTTTGTATAGCATCACCAATTGCTCCAGATTTTAATGTTGCAACTACAGGAGCAGTAAGTTTTGTAGCTAATTCATCTTCTCGCCCATTAAGGGGAGAGAGAGGAGGTGGTCTTTCACTTAATTCAGCAGGTAGAGCCAACGGGCTAGTAAAACATACTTTTTTCAGTTTCCCTTTCTTTTCTTTAATTTCCTCCATTTCCTGTTCCTCACATTCAGAATCTGAGGGTAGTTTTTTACACTCATCCTCCTCTTCCTCATCTGAATCTGCCTCATCATCTGTTTGAAATGGCTCAAGAGCTGCTTTTATTAGCGCCCACATTGACCAGACCAAGACTGGAATTTTTGCTCGACCTTTATACACTTTAAAAACCTCCACCAATTCTCTCCCATTCATCCAACTCCATAGTCCCTTTTTCTGGGAACTATGGGCAAAACTGCTTTACTGCATTAAAGGGTGATAACAAATTCTGAGTACTAACTTTCACTCCTCCTCTTTGTAATAAATGCCTTAAGAAATTTAAATAAGTAGAATGTCTGCTTTTTCTTTGTCCCGTTGTTACCCTCGTTCTTCACAGTGCTCAGCTTTCCTGCCGAGCTTCTTTTAGACATCCTTGGGTGTCCTTTGATGATGCGTCCTCTGCTTTCACATACTCTAGTGTTCCTTCACCGGGGTCTTTGTTGCCCCATGTTGGGCCACCAGGAATGTTGGGATGATTAGTCCCAACACCAGATCGTGGGGGCGACAAAGTCCGGCAGAGTCAAAGGATTGAGAAAAAGTTTGAGAAGGAAAGTGGGACCAGAGGGCCATCGGGATTGTGGAGGCTGGGAAGGCCCTGAGCTCTGGGAGCCCAAGCTATTTATTGGTAATCCAACAAAGAAACAGGTCGTGAGAATGTGGGGGTCGAAAGGGCAGGTGCATGATCTACAGCTGTGATGGTTTAGCATTTATATGGAACATCTTCTGCTACTTGAGATAATGGGAATACAATCGATCTAGGAGCCTAGGAGGGCTAGAAGCAAGGAGCCAGCAAGTCTAGACACATTCCAGAGGACATTATGTCAGACATGCAAGCCCTGCCTCAGTTTTTTTCCCAACACTCAGCTTTTTCCCAACAAGTAGTGGAAAGTTTCAGAAAACTATGATCGATAAATTCAATGACCAATAAGGAAACACCTTATTAGAAAATTATCTAAGTTTATACTCTAAGAAAATAAATTTATGAATGAGATCATAAAATTGTCAAACTAGCATTCGAGTAGGTATATACAGTTACATTTTTTTCTGCCTCATAAGTGAGACTAGAATTTAAACCTGAATATCTTATCTAATAATTTTGCTATGTAGAATGTCCAAACTATACAATTTTTAATCTGAGATTTGAAAGAGATTGAAATTAAACTCTGCACCTGAACTCAGTGCTGCTTCCCTCTAATTTATTTGCAGTTTTCTGTTATTTGGTGCCTCAGGTTAAACCTACTGGGAGAAAGTGGTTCTGAACCCTTCATATACTATCCACTTTTGTTTTGTTATCCTTGCTTTCCTCTTCAAGGCTACTGTGGATATTCATTCTAGCTTGATTTACTTCATGTAAAAATATTCCCTTTTGTGGAGATAAAGGAGTAAATAAAAGGGTATGCAGATTTATTTGTCCTTGACTTATAACCCCGAAGAATTAGGGTGAATGTGCTTAACCCAGTTCCTTTTTCCTACTATTGAGTTTCCTTCATCATGAGTTGAAACCACTCAACACTCCTCCTTTTTTGCCACCTTTATTGTTTGCAGCCTTACAAGTCACATTTAGCCTCTTGATTTCCCTGGAGTTTTATAATGCTCCCAGAACACTTTGTCCTATGATCACTCCCATGTGAATTATAGGTCTATTTACTGTGCGTTAACCATCTACCTACCAGTGATAACCTCTGAGTTCACTGCTCTTTCATAAACAGGAAGATAAGTCCTCCGAGAACTGCCAAGTTTATTGTTATCGTGCAATGGTAAAATAGTTACATATTGGAGACCAATGTGCAGAGAAGAGACTAGATAAGGCCAAAAATTGCTTGTTTGACTTGGCTTTTACTCAGTTGTCTTTATCACTCATTCCTGTGGCTATATTCATGACTTTGATATCCTCAGTTCTGCACAGCATCCCAATCTCAGCTTGGAACCTCCCCCTCTCTCACACCCCACCCCTCCCCCACTAGCCTTCCAGCCCACTCACTTGAGTGCACCCACTAGAGCAACTACTTGACTGGTGTCCTCCAATCAACTAACTTCTACTTTCCACTACAGATTACCTGACTCAGTTCCTCCCTTCTCCCCTTACTCAGCTTAGAACCCATCGCCCTTCATTAGAATCATTCTCCTGATGCTTGATCCCACTATTGGACTCTCCTAGCAATGCTCCAACCCCTAGTTAAACCCCACTCTCTTCTACTTTGTGTTTGCACCACGAAGCTGAGCATTCCTGAAACAAAACAAAAAACAGCCTCAACCATGCTGATTGAATTCACATACACAAATATCAAAGGATCGTTAAATACTCCCTGGGAGGAAATTTCCTATGATGTTTGCTTTCCCACTGTCTAAAAGAGATTATATCACACATTGTCTTGTCTCCTCTTACTGTCTATACTCCCTTTTCTTCCCTCACCGTCAGCTGACCACTTTGTCTCCATTGACATAAACAGAAGCAATCACAAGGAATGCCCTTATCTCCCAGCCACCAAATCAATCAAACTCTCTGTGGATGTATGTCCAGATAACTCTTGTCCTACTTCTTGCAGCACTGCTACTATACACAGTAATTTTTATTTGATGCAAACCCACAGTTTTCAGTTCTTTCTCTAGCTGTAAATATTGATGAGAGGTTACTTATGGAACCTTACAGAACTCACCAAAAGGAAGAAAAATTACTAATTTAAAACATGGAAACTGGTAGTCTCAACGTGAGCAAGCTAGCATGGTGGACTGCATTGTGGCGGGGTATGGGGTTGCAAGGAACCTAGGCTGGAGTCTCCAGGCTCAGGGCTGGCCTCTGTTGCTTGCAGTTCTTGAGTCCCTAATTCATTCCTCCAAGGGGAAGAATAAATCCTCTGAAGTTTCAAATAGGAAGAAAAGTTATGTTAGAGAGGAGAAAAGTACTCCACATTCCAGAGTTCTATGTTGGAAGTATTCTTTGTGTTACTACAGCTGACTCATATGCCAGTGAAAAAATCAGCCAGTTTCTGGGGATTTGCATCTAGAGATCAGGAAAAGGACTTGGGGCTACTTTTATCCTTAGGAATGTTATTGAAGGACAAGGTGTTAAAATTTGCTTTGAACTTTATAATCCTCGAATCCGGGAGACTCAAGTGGTCAAATTAGAGAAATGGGTGGATGATAGCTTGCTGTGGTTACGAGATGCTTTTCCTGAATATAGCACTGTTGATGTGAATATGAAGCCAGTAGCACAAGAGCCTAGCCAAGAAGTTCCTGTTAATAAGCTGAAAATGAAAATGAAGCCTCAGCCCTGGTCCAAATGCTGGGACTGTCCAAATTTTAATATTTAAGGAATAATATTTGATCCTTGTTTCACTGAAGAACAAATGAAAGCAGCTTAGAAGTAGAGACAGCTGTGGCTTGAATTTGATACGATGAGGGAATATGATGCTTTAAAAATTGAAGCTGCAATATGGGATGAAAATGAAGCATCCAGAAAGTCCTGATTCTGAGAATGAATTTGGTTACTTGCAGAAGATATATTGGCTCTAAGAGGATATATTGAGAGACCAATTTAATTTCATTTATAAGAACACAGTCATTAAATGAACTAAGCATTCATTGTTTCATCAGTACTTTTTTCTAAAATAAAACTTGCACACCAGTTTATTACTCTAAAAAAAAAAAGAATTATATATGCCAAATGGTCCAATATCCATTCCCTTACTGGAGGCACAGTTACAATAGGAGTCAGAGCATCACCAGAATGCTCTTTAATGAGCATGGAATCTGAGCAAGGGCATTGGTGGTGATCTTTCTTAAATTGTGAAATAAATCATAAGCACAACAATGTATGATTTACAGAATAATAAAATGGACATTTACATAACCATCATCAGGTTAAGAAACAGAACATTTAGGCAGGGTGTGGTGGCTTACGCTTGTAATCCCAGTACTTTGGGAGGCCAAGGCGGGCAGATCACTTGAGGTCAGGAGTTCGAGACCAACCTGGCCAACATGGGGAAACCCTGTCTCTACTAAAAATACAAAAATTTGCCGGATGTGGTCATGCATGCCTGTAATCCCAGCTACTTGGGAGGCTGAGGCAGGAGAATCACTTGAACCCGAGAGCTGGAGGTTGCAGTGAGCCAAAATTGCACCACCGCACTCCAGCCTGGGTGACAGAGTGAGACTCAGTCTCAAAAAAAAAAAGAAATATCTGAGAAGGTTAAGAAATAACATTGAATAAGATCTAAAACAAAAAAGGAAACTATTCCACATTTTGTTTTTCAACTAGCTGTTAAATCAGATAATTTTATTTTCTTTATATAGCAAATGTCAGTTAGGCTGGTCCGATAGTAAGGGATATCAGAACTTATTAACATTAGTGTCACTAAAGTTGGTGTACAGCCCTGCCCCTGCCACCCCCCCCACCCCGTGCCAGCTAAATTTGACTGGCTTAAAAAAAAAAACACCAAAAAACAGTCCATGAAAGCTTTGAAAACTACTTACTTTCAACTGCAAAAGCACATTTTCTGAAATTTCTTTCACATAACACATGGTAACATTTGCAACGACTGTCTTTGAATAACTTTCTCTTGCCTAATAAACAATTTGAGATAGAATTAACAAGACCTTTTTTAAAAAAATAAATGTTGGCTGGGTGCGGTGGCTCACGCCTGTAATCCCAGCACTTTGGGAGGCCGAGGCGGGTGGATTGTCTGAGGTCAGGGGTTCAAGACCAGTCTGGCCAACATGGGGAAAACCTGTCCCTACAAAAAATACAAAAAAATTAGCCAGGTGTGGTGGCGTGAGCCTGTAATCCTAGCTACTCGGGAGGCTGAGGCAAGGAAATTGCTTGAACCAGGGAGGTGGAAGTTGCAGTGAGCCGAGATCGCACCACTGCACTCTAGCCTGGGCAACAGAGTGAGACTATTGTCTCCAAAAAAAAAAAAAAAAAAAAGTTCTGTTAATGGATGGTTTGTTGGGGTTTTTCAAATGTCTTGACAATGTCTCAATCCCATTTTGGAACACACAGCATGTTGACAAAGGCTTGCTTTTTTTTTTTTTTTTTACAAACTAAGTATTTAATTTTTGGTTCTTGTCTTGATGGAGCAAGGTATATTAAAGATTTATCAAAATTTACACTCATGAACTATGACCTGTGAAGACAGATGTTACATGGACTACAGCACAGAGCATGAGTTAGGAAGACACTTAAGGAAACCTGTGTAGTTCTCTACAGCCCCATGGGAGTAGTTCTATGTCTGTTAGAATAAGACTATAGTTGCACCAGTAGATTCTTTAAGGAAGAGAGGAGAGTAGGAAGAGGGAACCTGATTTTCTGAGCACTTAATATGTGTCAGACCTTGTGCTAGCAGGACTGCATAAGGATTTTTGCTTGTTCTTCGTTTTATGTCTAGTGACCCTTATTCTTCCTTCAGATCTCAAGTGTTTCTTAGTATGTGGAGCTTTCCCAGACTTGACCAAATTTGCCTATCACAAATTCCTAGAGCACCATGTACCTCCTATCATAACATGCATCATAGTTGCAATTTGACATTTATTTGCATGATTATTTTTACCAATATTATCTCCCCAGTGAACTTGTCAACTCATAAGGGCAGCCCAAATCAACCAGTGGTGATTGGTTTTGCTTCCCATTGTAGCCACAGTATCTGCCACAGTGCTTGTATGTATCAGGAATTTAATAAATATGAAGTGGACAAATGCATGGTTGAAATTTAAGCTTATAGTCATATAGATCTACATTTGAATCCTTATGTAGCAAACTGAATAAAACCTCAAAAGATATCAGGTCTTAATCCTTGGAACCCATAAATGTTACCTAACATGAAAAAAGGGTCTTTGCAGATGTAGTTAAGAATCTTGAGATGATGAGATTATCCTGGTGGGCACTAAATGAAATCACAAGTGTCCTTATAAAAGAGCAGGAGAGGCTGGGTGCAGTGGCACATACCTGTAATACTAGTGCTTTGGGAAGTCAAGGAAGGTGGATCACCTGAGGTCAGGAGTTCAAGACCAGTCTGGCCAACATGGTGAAACCCCATCTCTACTAAAAATACAAAAATTAGCTGGGTGTGGTGGTGCATGCCTGTAATCCCAGTTACTTGGGAGGCTGAGGCAGGGGAATCGCTTGAACCTGGGAGGCAGAGGTTGCAGTGAGCTGAGATCGCACCACTGCACTCCAGCTTGGACAACAGAGAAGGACTCTGTCTCAAATAATAATAGTAATAATCATAATAATAATAATAACAAGAGAGGAAGAGGAAAATTTGATTCAAACAGGAAAGGGGAAGGCAATGTGACCACAGAAGCAGAGATTGGACTGATGTGGCCACAAGCCATGGAATGTTAGCAGCCACCAGAAGCTCTAAGAGGCAAAGAATGGATTCTCCACTGGAGCCTTCAGCGTGAGCATAGTCCAGTAGACACTTTCATTTTGGCACAACAAAATTGATTTTGGACTTCTAGTCTCCAGAACTGTGAGAAAATAAATTTCTGTTATTTTCAACTACTAATTTGTGGTAATTTGTTATGGCACCCATAGAAAACTAATACATCTGACTCTAGAAATTATTAGATAGGCTTTGTGAAGTTGGGCAAGTTATTTAACTTTTCCGAGTCTGAACCTTATCTCTAAAATAGAGACAATCACACCAACCCTCCTGGGGGTAACTGTCAGCTCTAAACGTGGTAATATGTGTAAAGTATATAGCCAATTGTAGGTATCACATTGCAAATGCTTGAAAAAAATAATTACAATTTTTTGTTAGACATTTTATAAAACTTATCTTCTTTAATTCTTATAGCTGTATGGTGTTGATTACCATATCTCCTCATCGTTATAGGTAAGGAAACAGGCATAGAGAAGTGAATGTGCCCAAACTATATAGTCAAAATAAAAAAAAAAACACCATGAGCATAAAATTTTTGAAATACTTTTAGATGTTTTTATATTTGAGTATCTTATTGCCCTGAGGCACTCCATCCATTGAAATAATGGTTTCTGTGCTTTAGGGGGAAGAACAGATATGAATAGGAACAAAGAAGCAACTGTCAAATGGGATTTTTGAGTCTCCAGCATAGGATTAATCTTGAAAGCCAGGCTTTGTCAAGTGAGAAGGGGTTTAAAAAAATCCTTCTGCATGGATTAACTTATCAAGAAGCAGGACTGGTGAGTGTGAAGGGTTTCTTTAACTGAAAAAACAGAAGTTATGACAAAAAAATTTTTTCCATAAGGAAAGAGAGAGAGGGAAGGAAGCTACTTCTGACCCAGTGAATTGTGGGAAATAAGAGGGAGATGACAGAAGTAGAACCAAGTATTAGTCGGGTGTGGTGGCTCATGCCTGTAATCCCAGCACTTTGGGAGGCTGAGGCGGGTGGATCACTTGAGGTCAGGAGTTCAAGACCAGCCTGGCCAACATGGTGAAACTCCATCTCTATTAAAAATACAAAAATTAGCCAGGCGTGGTGGTGTGTGCCTGTAATACCAGCTACTCAGGAGGCTGAGGCAGGAGAATCGCCTGGACCTGGGAGGCGGAGATTGCAGTGAGCCGAGATCGCACCACTGCACTTCAGCCTTGGCAACAGAGTGAGACTCTGTATCAAAAAAAAAAGCAAGTATTAAGAATCCAGTACCCTGATCCCACACAATGCCCATTTGAATGCTGCTGTTTATCCAGTTTCAATGTTTATAACATCTACTTCTCTATGTTGTGAACAATAAAGTTTGGTGGAGTTTTAATGGCTTCTCATTGCACTTGGGATAAGATCCTAATTTCTCAGAATGGCCCGTAAGGCCTTAGATGTTTAAGTTTTCAGTCAGGATTTTTACATAAAATTAACACAATCATAATGATAGGGTTTATTTTCTTGATTAGTCCAGAAGCCAGCTGTCCAGGGCCAGTGTATCTACTTGAGGAAGTCATAAAAGACAGGCTCCTTCTTGCACCCAACTCTGCCACCCATACTGTGTGGCTTTTGTCAGTATTGGTGTCAGGATAGCTCCTCCTTCTCTAGGAATTATGTCCTCCTTTCAAGCTGGAATAAAGGAAGGAGGCGAAATGGCAAAGGGTAAATGGTGCTTATGAAATGAGCTAATTCCTTTTTACCAGGAAAACAATACCCTTTCTGGAAGACCCACACAGTAGACTTCCACTTTCATCTAATTGACCAGAAAGAGCCACATGGCCCCTTTAGCTGCAGAGAGAACTAGGGAGGTGAAAGTTAAAACTAGGCATATTTCTACACATAATGTGGAAGAAAGAATGAATGGGTATTGGGAAGCACCCAGCAGTGTCCACCATACTGGCCTTAGTACAGATTATTATGCCCCTAGTTTACTATGCTTTAGTTTATTGGCCTTTCTATTCCTTGATTATTTTATTTTATTTCATTTTTTTTGAGATAGAGTCTCGCTTTGGCGCCCAGGCTGGAGTGCAATGGCACAATCTCGGCTCACTGCTACCTCCACCTCCCGGGTTCAAGTGATTCTCCTGCCTCAGCCTCCTGAGTAGCTGGGATTGCAGGCAGCCACCACCACGCCCAGCTAATTTTGTATTTTTAGTAGAGAAGGGGTTTCACGTTGGTCAGGCTGGTCTTGAACTCCTGACCTCAGATGATCCACTTGCCTTGGCCTCCCAAAGTGCTGGGATTACAGGAGTGAGCCACTGTGCCCAGCCTCCTTGATTATTATTTTTATTTCTTTCCTACCTCAGATCTTTTTTTCAAGGTACAGTCTTATCTGCCTTGAATGCTCTTTTCCTAGCTTTTTCAATGACTGGCAGCTTCATGTCCTTAGGTCTCTGCACAAAAGTGACCTCATCAGAAAAGACATCCTTCCCCTGCAATCTAAAGTAGTCACTTCTCCCTCAACTATCCTGTCCCTCAGCAGTTATCTATTTCCTTCACAACAATTTTCCTAATCTGGAATTCCTAGTTTATTGGTTTACTTATTAATGTTTATTTCCCTCTCATATAAAGTAAGCTTCATGAGAGTAAGACCTTGTCCATTTTGTTCACAACTGTATTCATGGCACCTGGGGTGGTATGCTTGGTAAATAGTATTATTCGTCATTATGGTATAATGTGAATAAATGCAAACCTGAAAGAGGAAATCCTTTAAGATGGATCCCACGTGGCTAACAAATTTTAAACAGAGCCAAGTGGCCATTTGCCTACTAAAGGTCACCCACATACTCTGAGTTCACTGAAAACTCACACCTCTATTGAACTTTGGGATTTACAGAGCTCACCTGAACCAACCAATAAGCTCAGCTGTGCCAACCAATCAGAATTAAGCTAGCTTGAATCCCTCATTTGTGTAAACAGACCTAGTTAGTAATCTGGGTGGCAATTTTGGTTATAAAATCCAAACCGTCTCTCTGTTCTCTGGAGCACACTTCTGTTTTATACCAAAGGCTGTGTTTCCCTGGTTTGCAAACTGTTCACTGGAATAAAGTCTCTTTCCTCCAAATTCCTTTTCAGAGAATGTTTGTTTACAATGACTAAATAAATGCAGAAAAAAAAAAGAGAATGTGTTAGGCCATTCTTGCATTGCTATAAAGAACTACTTGAGGCCGGGCACGGTAGCTCAAACATGTAATCCCAGCACTTTGGGAGGACAAGGAGGGCAGATCACGAGGTCAAGAGATCAAGATCATCCTGGCCAACATGGTGAAACTCCATCTCTACTAAAAATACAAAAAATTAGCTGGGCATGGTGGCATGGGCCAAGTAGTCCCACCTACTCGGGAGGCTGAGGCAGGAGATTCGCTTGAACCCAGGAAGCAGAAGTTACAGTGAGCTGAGATCGCGCCACTGCACTCCAGCCTGGTGACAGAGTGAGACTCCATCTCAAAAAAAAAAAAAAAAAAAAAAAAAAAAGAATAAAAGAAAGAAATACTTGAGACTGGGTAATTTATAAAAAAAAGTGTTGTGGGAAGTCAGGGACCCTGAACGGAGGGACCGGCTGGAGCTGTGGCAGAGGAATAAATTGTGAGGATTTCATGGATATTTATCAGTTCCCAAATAATACTTTTATAATTTCTTATGCCTGTCTTACTTTAATCTCCTAATCCTGTTATCTTCGTAAGCTGAGGATGTATGTCAACTCAGGACAACTGTGATAATTGTGTTAACTGTACAAATTGATTGTAAAACGTGTGTTTGAACAATATGAAATCAGTGCACCTTGAAAAAGAACAGAATAACAGCGATTTTTTAGGGAACAAGGGAAGACAACCATAAGGTCTGACTGCCTGCGTGGTTGGGCAAAAAGAGCCATATTTTTCTTCTTGCAGACAGCCTATATACAGACGTGCAAGTAGGAGAGATATCACTAAATTCTTTATCACTAATATTCCTAGCAAGGAATATTAATATTAAGACCCTGGGAAAGGAATGCATTCCTGGCGGGAGGTCTATAAATGGCCGTTCTGGGAATGTCTGTCCTATGCGGTTGAGATAAGGACTGAGATACGCCTTGGTCTCTGGCAGTATCCTCAGGCTTACTAGGATTGGGAAACTCCTTCCTGGTGAATTTTTGGTCAGACTGGTTCTCTGCTCTCGAACCCTGTTTTCTGTTAAGATATTTATCAAGGCAATATGTGCACTGCTGAACATAGACCATTAACAGGAGTTCTGATTTTGCCCTTGTCCTGTTTCCTCAGAAGCATGTGATCTTTGTTCTGCCTTTTGCCCTTTGAAGCATGTGATCTTTGTGACATACTCCCTGTTCATACACCCCCTCCCTTTTTGAAATCCTTAATAAAAACTTGCTGGTTTTGCGGCTCAGGTGGGCATCATGGTCCTACCGACATGTGATGTCACCCCCGGCAGCCCAGCTGTAAAATTCCTCTCTTTGTACTCTTTCTCTTTATTTCTCAGCTGTCTGACACTTATGGAAAATAGAAACAATCTACGTTGAAATATTGGGGGTGAGTTCCCCCAATAGAAAAGAGGTTTAATTGGCTCACGGTTCTGCAGGCTGTACAGGAAGCATGGTGCTGGGCATCTGCTTGGCTCCTGGTGAGGCCTGAGAAAGCCTACAATCATGGTGGAAGGCAAAGGGGAGCTGACATTTTGGCGAGAGTGGGAGCAAGAAAGAGGTGGACAAGGTGTCATACATCTTTAAACAACCAGATCTTGCATGAACTCACTATCACAAGGATAGCACTATCACAAGGGATCCACCCTCATGACCCAAACACCTCCCACCAGACCTCACCTCCAACACTGGGGAATACATTTCAACATGAGATTGGAGGGGAGAAATATCCAAACTATATCAGGGAAATAGTTGGGATTCTGAATTACTCTTACTTTTAACATACTCATCAATTCTAATAATCACATATGTCACTTTCCTATTTAAAAATTCTCATTTCTCAGTGTTCTTGGTCTGTCTCACCAACTATTGCAAGATGCCCTTGAAGTTGGTATATGCTTCATAAATTTTTAAAAAGTCCTTACTTCTCCTTAAATTCTGATGACATCTGTTTAACTAATTTAGGATGTGGGTAATTTGATGAGGAGATGTTTTGTTTCTACCCAAGAGCAGGTTGCAGAACATGCACTCACTACACCTGAGCAGATGTGCAGTATGCATCCCTGAAGGGAGGAACCCAGGAGATCTGGCTGTCCCAGCTAATTGCAGTTTTGTTTCAGTGCCATGGAATTGGTTTTGTTTGTACAGTTGTTTGCACAGGTTCATCAAACTAAGTTCACGCTAGCCTCCCCTTAGGGAATATGGAGTTATAAGACTAGGGTCTGAGGAGCTTCCTGTGAGAACTACTTTCTGTTGCTCCCTTTCTTTGATTGTTGACTTTGTAACTCACTGCTTTTCTCCTGTCTTCTCTAGTGACTAATTTGTCAACAGACTTTGGACACGCTGAACTTGATGAACAGAGCCGGTCTAATACATTTCCAGTTTAAGCAGTGATTAACAACACTGAGAGCAAAGTTTATCTGACCAGAGGAAGCCGAGTACTGATATTTATCTTTAAAATGCACATTTCAATAATAGTACTTCTCAACCTGAGAAAGCAGTCAAAATAAACAAAGCTGGACACTAGTTAAAGCAGTAAGGACAGACTTTATTCAGTGATGCTAGTCCAATAGGGAAAAGAGTGTAATACAAACTAATCCCACACTTCCCTGAAACAAAAGGCTGTGGTATGCAAAAAGGAAAGGCACAAAAGGATCTTAAGTTTTGGGGGGTGGCAGGGGGGCACGGTGGTTTGTTGATTGATGTGATTAGGCCATTTGGGTTTGTTAACTGGCTCTTATCCAGAGGAGAAACAAACTTCTATCTTTATGATAGGAGGCAGTGGTGCTAGCTAAAGCAAGGTACCGGTCTTGTACAGGGACTAGGAGCTAGGGTGAGTTATCTTTCTGAATATTTGCATTTCAAAGAGATGGCTCCCAAGTCTTTGAGGAAACTGTGTTGGGTGGTAGACTTACATCACCAAGGGTAGAGAAACAAGCTTTCTAAAGTGACTGCTCTAAGAAGGGGTTCAGGGACCTATCTGCCTATCATCAAGTTTTGGCTGGAACAAACAGTAAATTCTCCAGGCATTGAGTTTTGATTTCAGGGAAGCATTTTAACGGGATCTGGGGTCAGCCTAGGGACAAGGCCTTAAGCTACTGGAAGCTATGCTAGAGTATAATCAAATCTCTCAGTGCCGAGAAAAGAACTTTTATATGAGGAAGGTAAATCCTTTTAAATTACCAGGCCCAGAGAGACATTAAAATGAGACAGCAATTACATCCTACTCCCCACTTTGTTATGCATTCATCTCTTTAAACTGCTTACTATAGCCACAAGTAGCTAAAAATTAACCTAATAATGGTACACTGGACACTGTAACTCGCACCCTATAGCTTAACGTATAGCCAACCACTAACCAATACTATTTCTACAAACCAGTAATTCTTTACAACTTTGTATCAGTCAACTCCCTGTCCCCTTTTTGCCTTTAAAAACCTGATTGTAACAAAGGTGGACAGGAGTTCACATTTAAGGTTACTTGGGTCTGGGTCTTCTGGGCAGCTGTCCTCACTTTGGCTAAAGTAAATGCTTTAAGTTCTATCTCGTGCCTCAGCGTCTAGGTTGACAGTGTAGTTTGAACAGTCAATACCTGTCGAGAGTTCTGCAGTTTTCAGAACAATGGTTGTTAAAATTCGATTAATCTGGCTTTTAAGATGGTCAAAGTTTTGTAACGTCGGTGTATTGGAACCACACCACAGAAACAGCGGATCATGTAAGTAAAAGTCAAATAGTTGCCACATCAATAAGCTAATATAAATGAAGTAAGCCTGATTACAAGCTGCTTTGGACAGTCTGGGTTTCCAACTTTGTTTGTCGGTTTGTTTAATTTTTGCCTCTCAAGTTTATTATCCAGTATTATGTGTGTTGCCCTCTGTTCCTCCTCCAGCATGTGTGCCTATTTTCACAGCTTTTCTCCTCCACGAGTTTCCAAGGGCCACAACTGGTCCTAGCAAAGCCTTGTGAATGAAATCCAGCAATTGGAGCAGACAACTTGGTTAAGAAAACAAAAACAAAAAACCAAGAAACCCTTCAAGATACGAGGGCTGAGTCTCTGGACTATCTCCTCTTGCTGTAACCGCCCAAGGGGTTCACCTTTCCCGCTTCCTAGACAGAGCTGATTCATCAAGACAGGGGAATTGCAATAGAGAAAGAGTAATTCATGCAGAGCCAGCTGTGTGAGACCGGAGTTCTATTATTACTCAAATCAGTCTCCCTGAGCATTCAGGGAGCAGAGGTTTTTTCTTTTTTTTTTTGATACGTAGTTTCACTCTTGTCGCCCAGGGTGGAGTGCAGTGGTGCGACGTTGGCTCACTGCAACCTCCACCTCCCGGGTTCAAGCGATTCTCCTGCTTCATCCTCCTGAGCAGCTGGGACTACAGGCGCGTTTACCACCATGCCCAGCTAATTTTTGTATTTTTAGTAGAGACGAGGTTTCACCACGTTGGCCAGGCTGGTCTTGAACTCCTGACTGCAAGTGATCCCGCCTCGGCCTCCCAAATCAGTCATAATTTTGCAAAGGCGGTTTCATTCCCATAACGAAGTATTATTCAAAAATATGGCTAAGACCTGCGTCCTTCCGCAACAACTTACTCCCTAAAAAAACCAGAGCAGGGCCAGGCGCGTTGGCTGAGGCCTGTAACCTCAGCACTGTGGGAGGCCCAAACAGTTGGATTATTTGAGCTTGAGAGTTGGAGACCAGCCTGGGCAACATGGCAAAAATCTGTCGCTACAAAACATACAAAAATTAGCCAGGTATGGCGGTGTGTGCCTGTAGTCCCAGCTACGTCGGGGGCTGAGACAAGAGACTCGCTTAAGCCCAGGAGGTTGAGGCGGCAATGAGCTGAAATCGCGCCCCTGCACTGCAGCCTGGGCGACAGAGCCAGACTCTTGTCTCAAAAAACAAAAACCAAAAACCCAGGGCAGCAAGTCTCTCTCAAACCCCTTGGCTTCTTTCCCACTTATTCCCGTTCCAGTTCCTCGTCTGTTTCACCTTTCCTTTCCTCTGACACTTTCTTGGTAGTTCCCTGCGTCCCCAAGTAAGCCTGCGCAGACTGGGAAGTCTGGGAAGTCGGAGAAGGAAGGCGCTACCAAGCCGGCAACGCACGACCTTTGCTTTGCGGCGCGGCCGTAAAGCGCCATTACGCAGAGAGAAAGTTACGAGGTTCGTGGCCGCGGTTTCCCCAGGCAGCTGGCGCTGGAGGCTTCGGCGTCACGTGCTGGTCTGGATTTTTCTCGATGCACTGGGGAAAGCGGTGGACTCTTATCGTGGGAGGGCTCTTGATCTGTGATTTATAGATAGGCACAGCTACTCCCGTTCGGGAACCCAACGGCAGACAGGTCCTAGTGCCCATCAGATACCCGCGGCCGGGACTCGGAGCTGTGGGGTGTGGGGAGGCGGAGGCACCAACTAAGAGCGACCTAGCATCGCAAAGCCGCCCTCGGGGCGCTCATGGCGGGACGCCTCCTGGGAAAGGCTTTAGCCGCGGTGTCTCTCTCTCTGGCCTTGGCCTCTGTGACTATCAGGTCCTCGCGCTGCCGCGGCATCCAGGCGTTCAGGTATTCCACCCTCCTACTACCGGCTCCTTTGCCCTAGACCTTGAGTTGGGGGTGGGAAGCAGCTTTTTTTTCTGGCGTATTCTGTAGGCTTTGCTTTGCCTCTCGGGTTTTTATAGTCATATACAAGTTTTCAAAAAGGCTCTAAAATATTTTATCTGCCTTTTGAGGAAAACGAGTGGCAGGGACCCTTCTTGACTTCTGATTTTGAAATTTGCCATTCTCTGTAAATCATTGTTAGTATCACGAGAGAGTTTAAATAGCAATTGTTTGGGGTGGTGGTGTCCCGTGCCATTTTTTTATGGTTAATACTTAAAACATTATTATTAGTATTAATACATGTACATAGTTAAAACAACTTGAAAATGTAAAATGAAAAGTAAAATCACTATTCCCCCTGTCCCCTTTCCAGGGTGGACAATATATTATATTTACTATCTACCTCCTTTTTTTTAATAATTTGTCTATTGTGGTTAAATTTAGGGATTTATGGTGTCTTACACTGCCTCCTTCTGTTCTTCCCTTCTCCAGTTTTTATTCTTTGAGTTAGTAAACACAGGGTCCTAGGTGCAGCAGCCTTTTCTTATTTTATAGATATTAAAAGTCTTGAATCTACAAAGATGATAATTAGAAAAATCTATTTCCTAAATAATTTACTTACTGTTGGTCAATTGTTCTGTGTCTTTTTGGTCCTGTTTCCTTCTGTTGCTTTTTCTCGAACATGTGATGGGCACTGGTTATCTGTCTATATTTTGATTAATATGAGTAATAGGTCTTGTTTTCAGTACATGGGTCGCTAATTGACTTTTGGCTCTGTACCAGGTTGCCTAGATAGGAAGGTTTCAGTTGAGGGCATGTGAGCAGGTACCAGATGGGTAGACTGGGAACCTGCCTTTTGCTTCAGGCTTTGCAGTAGTGGTGGAGCAACTTCTCTGCTGAGTATAGCTGTTTATTTCCTCCGTGTGAACTGTAAAATTATTAAGCCTAAGTTTCTGCTGTGTACTCTTAACACCAGTATTCACAGTAGGGGTCCTACCCCTTCATTTCTAAAAAACTTTTGATTTTATCTTGGAGACAAACATAACTATTTTGGACTTTTTGCTTGGAGATTGGGGAGGGAGGAGGACTGAGTGATTTCCATGGTTATTGTCGCGCTGCCAGTTTATGATCCTTGGGCCCACTGACTTCAAGCTTGAAACCTCTAGCTCGGCTCAGCTTGTAGGAATAGCATTTCTCCCTAATGCGTTTTTTTTTTTTTTTTTTTTTTTGAGAAGGAGTTTCGCTCTGTCGCCCAGGCTGGAGCGCAGTGGCGCGATCTCGGCTCACTGCAACTTCCGCCTCCTGGGTTCAAGCGATTCTTCTGCCTCAGCCTCTTGAGTAGCTGAGATTACTGGCGCGCGCACGCCCGGCTAATTTTTTTTGTATTTTTAGTAGAGACAGGGTTTCACCATCTTGGTTAGGCTGATCTGGTCTTGAACTCTTGACCTCGTGATCCGCCCGTCTCGGCCTCCCAAAGTGCTGGGATTACAGGCGTGAGCCACCGCGCCCGGCCTTGGTGCATATTCTTATTTTACTTTGTCCTACTCTGGTTTGTAGGTCAATATTCCAACAACTTTTCATTTTCCTGAAGTTGGTTACCATCTGTCATTCACTGGTGGCATTTATTCCTTCTCCTGGTACGGATTTTATTTCCCTTTATCTATCTTTATCTTCTTTTAGTGGGATTTGAGGAAGGAAGGAATACACGTGTGTGCTCTCTGGAAATCTCTAATGCTCTTTTTGTTAGATGCCAGCAGAACAGTGTAAAGTTGCTTGACAGTTATTCTTCGTTTTTGTAACTCTGGGAACCCTACATGAGGCAGGTATATCCAGAACCAGAGACTGTACTGACTTGAAAGAAAAAGCCAACAGTTAACAAATGTGCCAAGTACCTGGTAACTAATGTGGCAGAATAGCTTGAACCGGGGAGGTGGAGGTTGCAGTGAGCTGAGATCATGCCACTGCATTCCATTCTGGGTGACAGAGTGATACAATGTCTCAAGAAAAACAAAAAAAGAATTTTATGGCCAGGCACAGTGGCTAACACCTGTAATCCCAGTGCTTTGGAAGGCTGAGGCAGGAGGATCGTGTGAGGCCAGGAGTTTGAGACCAGTCTAGGCAACTTAGCAAGACCCTTGTCTCTAAAAAAAAAAAACTGGGCCTGGTGGCATGCATGTGTAGTCCTCACTATCAGTAGGATCAGAGTAGGCTCAGAGACTACTAAGTGATCAGTAGGATTGCTTGAGCTCAGGAGTTGAGTTTGAGGCTGTGGTAAGCTATGATCGCATCACTGCATTCCAGCCTGAGTGGCACAGCAAGACCGTGTCCCTAGTGTTCTTTTCCTTTTTTTTTTTTTTTTTTTTGAGATGGAGTCTTGCTCTCGTTGCCAAGGCTGGAGTGCGGTGGCGTGATCTTGGCTCATTGCAACCTCCGCCTCCCAGGTTCTAGTGATTCTCCTGCCCCAGCCTCCCTAGTAGCTAGGATTACAGGCGCCCATCACCATGCCTGGCTAAGTTTTATATTTTTAGTAGAGATGGGGTTTTACCATTTTGGCCAGGCTGGTTTCGAACTCCTGACCTCAGGCAATCTGTCTGCCTTGGCCTCTCAAAGTGCTGGTGAATACAGGTGTGAGCCCCCACGCCTGGCCAAGACCCTGTCTCTTTGAAAAAAAAAAAAAAAAAAAGAATTTTACCAGTCTTTGATAATTTGGAAAAACCCAGAAAGTGACAGTTTTGCACTTAGTTTTTGTGATTACTAGAAGGTTTCCAATGTTCATTTTCTTTTTTAATTGCTCTGTCACCTAGGCTGGAGTGCAGTGGTGTGATCATGACTCACTGCAGTCTCAACCTCCTGGGCTCAGTGATTGTCCCAGCTCAGCATCCTGAGTATCTGGTACTACCGGTGCGCACTACCAGGCCTGGCTAATTAAAAATTTATTTATTGTTTGTAGAGATGGGTCTCCCTATGTTGCCCAGGCTGGTCTCAAACTATTGGGCTCAAGTGATCCTCCTGCCTTGGCCTCCTAAAGTTCTGGGATTGTAGGTGTGAGACACTGCTCCCAGTCATCAAATGTACATTTTCTAGAAAAAAGGTAGTATATTACAAAGATGTAGTGAATGCTTTTACATACCACAACATACAAATCTTCCAGAAGGATCTACTGGTGATGTGTGTAGAATATTGTTTTATTCCTGTGAATGCATAAAACATATGAATGAACCAAAAATGAAATAGAGATAGTAAAACATAGTGTTAAGAGCCTGGAATTCTAAGACAGCTTGCCTAGGTTTGGATCCTGATTTCTACTCTCAATTGTGTGACCTTGGTAAACTTATTTACCTCTCTGGGTCTTAATGTTCTTATTTCCTTTTTTTTTTTTGAGACAGAGTCTCGCACTGTCGCCCCAGCTGGTGTGCAGTGGTGTAATCTTGGCTCTCTGCAACTTGTGCCTCCAGGGTTCAAGCGATTCTCCTGCCTCAGCCTAGTGAGTAGCTAGGATTACAGGCGTCTGCCACCATGCCTAGCTAATTTTTTTGTATTTTTAGTAGAGACGGGGTTTCACTGTGTTGGCCAGGCTGTTCTTGAACTCCTGACCTTGCGATCGCCTGCCTCGGCCTCCCAAAGTGCTGGGATTACAGGCGTGAGCCACTGCGCCTGGCCTTAATGTTCTTATTTATAAAAAAAAAAATTGAAAAAGGATAATATGGCCTGGTGTGGAGGCTCACACCTGTAATCTCAGCACTTTGGAAGTCCGAGGCAGGAAGATTGCTTGAGCCTAGGAGTTCAGGACCAGCCTGGGCAACATAGAGTGAGACCCCATCTTGACAAAAAATAAACAAAATTGGGAGTCGCTCAGCCTACCTGATTTACCAAACCACTCCCTTGCCAAAAAAAAAAACAAAAAACTAAACCAAAAAAAAAAAAAGCCAGGTGTGGTAGCATATGCCTATAGTCCCACCTACTCAGGAGGCTGAGGTAGGAGGATTGCTTGAGCCTGGGAGGTCGAGATTGCAGTGAGCCATGATTGTACCAATGCATGCCAGCCTGGGTAACAGAGTGAGGCCTTGTCTCAAAAAAAAAAAAAAAAGTTAAAAAAAAAAAAAGTACCTGAACTCAGTTGTGAGGATCAAGTGAGTTAATTTACAGTGCTTAGAACACTGTCTTGCACATAGCAATCACTATATACATTTAGGTGTGATTATGACAATGATTGTTGCAGATTTTATTTCAAAGCACCACGTCAGTATTGCATTTTTAAAAGTTTGCCAGTCTTAAGAATTGGTTTTTGCCATGTAAATGGACTTTATCAGCTACTTAGTTCCCATTTGCTAGGCCAAATATATTTCTTGCACTTGTTCAATAATACAATACAAAGGTCAAGGCTGTATATGTGTGTATTACAAGTATTCTTTTTTCTGGTACCTTACAGTGTATCACATTTAAATAGCATATATAGATAGCAGTGTTAGCACTTCTTGATGTGATAAGATGTATAGCCTGAATTTTTGCACAATTAAATTTGTTTTAGAAAAGTAAATAATCCAGTGTGTAAATCTGTCTTGTCAAGTAGGTAGATTTGTGGAATTCCATAAACATTTTATTGCTAAATCAGGGAACAAAGAGCCTTAAGTTATTTAAACATTTTTGGTACGTGGGTGGGATGGAGTGGAACAGCATTAGTGTTTCCTGTTTGGTATTTAATTAATGGCCTTAACTTTTTTCTTGCCCTACTCCCAAACCATGAAACATAACTCATTTTGTGATAGGGTTCAATTAGAGATTAGGGTTCCATATGTTAAAATTTTGCTTTTTAAAACACCTGAAGTCTGTTTGCTAATTTTGATAAATGTGTTTCATATATGTATTCATTTTTTATTGAGTATGGGTTTAAGGTGAGTGAGGGAGACTTTATTTTCAGAATATTCATTGTGTAGGTTTCCTAAACTGTGGCAGCTGAGGCAAGAAAGTTGTCATAATCATAATATGAAAGTGAATGAACCTACTGCTTTTAGTAAAGTTAGTCACAAATCAAATACTCGCTCACGTTACACTAGTTTTCAGCCCGTCTGGGGATATTAACTTCTTTATTAGTTAGGTTTTCCCTCATTTTTGGGTGTTTTACCACACTTTGCAGATGTAAAGTGAGTGTAAAATGAAATAGTAATTGTTTCAGAGTCTTTAAATGTGATGAAAGAGAACAGCTTGAACAGTATATAAAACTGTAGACACACAAGAATAGGAAAGAATGAAACCAGTTAAAAATCCAACTGACAGTTTGTCAGTTTCTTACAGAACTCAACACTTATAATTCAGCAATCACACTCTTTGGTATTTACCCAAATGAATTGAAAATTTATGTCCACACAAAAACCTGCACACAGATGTTTATAGCAGTTTTATTCATAACTGCCAAAACTTGGAAGCAACCAAGATGTTCTTCAGTAGGTAAATGGATAAATAAACTGCGGTACATCCAGACAATGGGATATTATATTATTTAGTGCTAAGAAGAAATGAGCTATCAAGCCATGAAAAGACATGGAGGAATCTTAAATGCATATTATTAACTGAAGGAAAGGCTGTATGATTCCAACTATATGGCATTCTTGAAGGCACAACTATGGAGACAGTAAAAAGATCAGGAGTTGGATGAATTGGGGTAGCACAGAGGACTTTAAAAAATAGTCATTTTTTTAGAGCAGTTTTTAGGTTCACACCAAAATTGAGCTAAAGATAAGAGATATCCTGTATACCTCCTACCTCCACCCATGCATAGCCTCCCGCATTGTCAACATCCCCACAGAGCCACGGAGCCATACGTTTGTTAAAATTGAACCTACATTGACGCTTCATCACCCAAAGTCCTGTAGTTTATATCAGGGTTTACTCTTGGTCTTGTACTTTATGGTTTGGACAAATGTATAATGACACGCATCAACTCTTATGGAATTGTACACGTAAAATTCACTGCCTTTAGGGCAGTGAAACTTGCGTATGATACCTAATGGTAGGTACATGTTTACACTATATACACCGAAGAGGGACCAGGAGGAAGTCTAGGAAGCAGTTCTTGTAAGTCAGGTTAAGAATTTTAATTAAAAAGGTTTCTTATTTTTTTAATGAGTCAGGATCTCACTATGTTGCCCAGGCTGGAGTGCAGTGGCGTGATCATGGTTCACTGCAGCCTTGACCTCCTGGACTCAGGAGATCCTCCCACCTCAGCTTCCTGAGTAGCGGCAACTACAGGCACATACCACCATGCCTGACTAACTTTTAAAATTTTTTGTAGAGATAAGGGTCTCACTGTCTCACCTAGGGTGGTCTTGAACTCCTAGCTTCAAGCAGTCCCCCTGCCTTGGCCTCCCAAAGTGTTGGGATTACAGACGTGAGCCACTGTGCCCCACTGAGAAGTTTCTTTTTATATATATATAATTATGTAATTTGCCCTAATTGCATAAATTTGATCAGGCATACCTCACTTTATTTGGTAAATTTGGGTAGTCTTTTTTCCTTCTCTTTTTTTCCTTGTTTCCTTTTCCTTCAGTTTTCTTATCCTTTTTAAATTTGTTTTTCTTTCTTGTTCTTTTTTTCTTATCCTTTCTTGCAACTCCCTTTCCTTTTCTCCTTTTCTCTCTCCCCGTTTCCCCCCCATCTTTGCCACTGTCTCTTCTTTCCCCCTCATCTCCTTTTTCTTCTCTCCTGTACTCCCCTTTCCCCCTCCCTTTCCTTTTCGTTCTCCTTCCTTTCTTTTCCCTCTTTCTGTTTGCCTCTACTTCTCTTCACATCAGCACCTTATTTCCTAGCCCATATTAAGAACCTGATTATATGGCTCCTTCTATATATGCTTATATAATAAATAGTATAGACAGTTGTGGTAAGCAGAATAATGGCCCCCCAAGTATGTCCACATCCTGATACCTGGAACCTGTGTATATGTTGCCTTACATAGCAAAAGAGAGTGCAGAGGTGGTTAAGGTTAAGGACTTTGAGATGGGGAGAGCATCCTGGAAGGTGCGCCTGATTTAATTGAGAGTCCTTAAAAAATGGCCTGGCCGTGATCAAAGATATGATTACTAATACATGGTCAGAGAGATTTCTATGTTGCTGGCTTTGAAGATGATGGAAGGGGGCCATGAGCCACAGAATGCAGGTGGAATGAGGATTCCCTCTAGAAGCTGGGAAAGTATGGCAAATGGATTTTTCTCTTGAGCCTCCAGAGAGGAATGCAGCCCTGCTGATAAATTGTCTTTAGCTGAGTGAGACCTGTGTTGGACTTCTAACCTACAAAACTGTAAGACAATGAATTTTTATTGTCTTAAGTCATTGAATTTGTGGTGATTTGTTGTGGCTTCAGTAGAAAACTAATACATTATATACATGCACTGAAATGTGCTTATTTATTTTTTATGTCATTGCTTTATAAAAATAGTACCATATTATAGGACTTTACTGAATCTTTTTTCAGCAATGCCTTACAGAAATACAAATTGTTTGATGTCATTTTTTTTATTGCAAGTAAATTTCTCCACATCCTTGCCAATACTTATTTTCTGTATTGTTTTTTTGATAGTGGTCATTCTAATGGGTCTGAGGTAGTATCTCATTGTGGTTTTGACTTGCTTTTGTCTAATAATTAGTGGTATTGAGCATCTTTCCATGTGCTTATTGGCCATTTGTATATCTTCTTTGGAGAAATGTCTATTGGAGTCCTTTGCCCGTTTTTAAATTGGGTTGTTTTGTTGTTGTTGTGTGTAGGAGTTCTTTCTATATTCTGGATATAACCAACCCCTTATCAGACATGTGATTACCAAGTATCTTTTCCTGTTCCATGGGTTGCTTTTTCTCTCTTGATTGTGTCTTTTGATACCCAGAAGTTTTTCATCTTGATGTAATATATAGTCCAGCTTACCAATTTTTTCTCTTGTTGCTTGTACTTTTGGTGTCATATCCAGAAAATCATCACCAAATCCAGTGTCGTGAAATTTTGTCAGCATGTGTTCCTCTAAGATTTTGATCATTTTAGGTCTTATGTTTAGGTCTTTGACCCACTTTTAATTAATGTTTTTATATGGTGAAAGGTAAGGGTCAAACTTCATACTACTTTTGCATGTGAATATCCAATTTTCCTAGCACCATTTGTTGAAAAGACTGCCCTTTCCCTGTTGAAATGGTCTTGGTACCTTTGTCAAAAATTATTGTGAGGATTTATTTCTGGGTTCTACTTCTATTCCACTAGTCTATATGTCTTTCTGTATGCCAGTATCTCAGTGTTGTGATTACTATAGCTGTGTAGTAAGTGTGAGACCTTGAACTTGTTTCTCCCTTTCAAGATTGTCTTGGCTATTTGGGGTTCCTTGAGATTCCATATGAATTTTAAGGTAGAGTTTTCTCTTTCTGGAAAAACATCATTGGGATTTTGACAGAGATTGCATTGAATCTGCGGATAACTTTGAGTAGTATTGACATCTTAATATTTTTTTCCAGTCAATGAACATAGGATGTCTTTTTATTTATTGGTGTCTTTAATTTCTTTTAGCAATAGTTTGTAGTGTTCAGTGTATAAGAGTTTTGCTTCCTTAAGTTTATTCCTAAGTATTTTATTCTTTTCTATGCTATTGTAAGTAGAATTTTCTTAATGTTCCTTTTGGATTGTTAATTATTAGTGCTTTGTTTGTTTGTTTGTTTTTGAGATGGAGCCTTGATCTCGGCTTACTGCAACCTCCGCCTCTGGGGTTTAAGTGATTCTCCTGCCTCAGCTTCTCGAGTAGCTGGGATTACAGGCACACATCACCATGCCCGGCTAATTTTTGTATTTTTAGTAGAGACAGGGTTTCGCCATGTTGGCCGGGCTGGTCTTGAACTGCTGACCTCAGGTGATCCACTAGCCTCTGCCTTCTGAAGTGCTGAGATTACAGGCATGAGCCAGTGCACCCAGCATGTTAGTGTTTTTTAATGTAACCATTTTTGTGTGTTGATTCATACCTTGCAACTTTGCTGAATTCATTTATTAGTTCTAACAGTTTTTTCATGAATTATCTTGGGTTTTCTACATAAAACATCATGCGATGTGTAAATACAGGTTGAGTATCCCTTATCTAAAATGCTTGAGACCAGAGCGGTTTGGATTTCAGGTTTTGGAATATTCACATACACATAATGAGATGTCTTGGAGATGGGACTCAAGTCTAAACACAAAATTCATTTATGTTTTATATATACTTTAAACAGGTAGCCTGGAGATACTTTTATACAGTATTTTAAACTTGTGCCTGAAACAGTTTTGGTTGTGACCCATCACATGAAGCCAGGTGTGGAATTTTCTATTTGTGGCATCATATCAGCACTCAAAAAATTTCTGATTTTGGATTTTTGGATTAGGGATGCTCAACCAGTTTTACTTCTTCCTTTCCAATGTGGATACCTTTTCCTTTTTTTTTCTTTCCTAATTGTTCTGGCTAGAACTTCTATTTCTTTCCTAATTGCTCTGGCTGAACTTCCAGTATTATATTGATTAAAGTGAACATCCTTGTCTTGTTCCTGATCTTAGAGGAAAAACTTCCAGTCTTTCACCTTCACACCATTAGCTGTGGGCTTTTCATATATGGCCTTTATTATGTTGAGGTAATTTCCTTCTATTCCTAGTTTGTTGAATATTCTTAAATCGTGAAAGGGTGCTGAATTTTGTTAGATAATTTTTCTGCATCAATCAAGAAGATTGTGTTTTTTTTTTTTATTTTGTTAATGTGATACATTATGTTGATTGATTTTCATTATATAGAACCATCATTGGATTCCAAGAATGTCTCCCTTGGTCATGGCATATAATCCTTTTCATGTGCTGTTGAATTCTGTTTGTTATTATTTTGTTGAGGATTTTCACATCAGTATTAATCAAAGATAATGGTTTGTAGTTTTTTTATAGTGTCTTTGTCAAGCTTTAGTATCAGGATAATGCTGGCCTCAGAGTGAGTTTGGAAGTGTTTACTTCCTCTTCACGTTTTTGGAAGAGTTGAGGGAATATTGGTGTTGATTCTTCTTTAAATGTTTGGTAGAATTTATCAGTAAAGCCATCTGGTCCTGGGTTTTTCTTTGTTGGGAGTAAATAGATACTTTAAAAAAATTCACCTTTTAAAATTATTTATACAACCCCATCCAAACTTTACTACCTATCCTGCAATGTTTATTTTTTCCTTTATGGTCATCAGCCCATCCAAGATCATTGATTGCTTCTAATTGTCATGTCTTTTTAGTCTTAATCTATCTGGAAGAGTTCCTGCACCTTTCTCTATCTTTCATGACCTTACCAATTTAGAGAGTACACACCTTTATTCTGTAAGATGTCTCTTAACCTGGGTCTGTCTTGTGTTTCCTAATGTTCAGATTCATGTCATATATTTTTGGGAGAAATACCTCAAATGACTGTTGCATGCTTCTCACTGTATGAGATCAGGAGGCACATGCTGTTGACTTAGTCCACAACCTTGGTCAAGTGGATATTTGCCCCGTCAATCATTTGTCTTAAGAAGGGCAAATTGACTGGTATTGTGAGAGCAGGGGAAAGGAGCTATCATAATTTTACCATGTCCTCAGAATCTCCTTTCCCACTTGAGATGTCCTAATTTAAGGTCATCAAGAATTCGTATTTTAAGAATAATTAGAAGTCATTTAACTTTTTAGGCAAGATGAGATATGAAAAATTTTTGTATATGCTGTGTGGTTAGGGTGAAGGTTAGTTGGTTTTTCTTTTGCATATGCTATCCAGTTATTTCATGCCTGTATATTTTATTTAAATTTTGCTCTAAAGGTTACAATTTGTATATTTACCACAGTCTACCTTCAAATTATATTACATTAGTTCATTTTCAGTGTAAAAAATTTTTCAATAATTTCTATTTTCCTGTTTTTCCTTTGAACCATTTTTGCCATACGTTTTATGTGTATGTTAGACTATAGATGATTTTTAAAAAATATATTCCTTTACGTAGACTTTAAACAGTTTTCTTTTATATGTATATATATTTTTTGAGATGGAGTCTCGCTCTGTCGCCCAGGCTGGAGTGCAGTGCCACAATCTCGGCTCACTGCAACCTCCGCCTCCTGGGTTCAAGCAATTCTCCTGCCCCAGCCTCCCGAGTAGCTGGGATTCACCACACCTGGCTAATTTTTGTATCTTTTAGTAGAGACAGGGTTTCACCATGTTGAGCAGGCTGGTCTCGAACTCCTGACCTCAAGTGATCTGCCCTCCTTAGCCTCCCAAAGTGCTGGGATTACAGATATGAGCCACCACACCTGGCCTACACTTGTTTTTATGGTTTGAGTTTTCATAACAAACTTCCCCTTCCACAACAGATAACACACAAGTAAGTTTGTGTCCTTTTTTTTTTTTTTTTGTCTAAAATAAATTCAGTGAGTGGGTTCCAGCTAATAAGATTTAGCTATATGTTAAAAAAATGTATATTTGAAAATAATCTCTCATAGATGTTGGACCTTTAGACTAATATGCATCATATTTGAATTTTCTGATTCTTAAAGGTTTTTGAAATTGGAAAGTATGTTTTTGGGTCTTTGAATTAGGTTCTTTTTTTTTTTGCTTTTTTTTTGAGATGGAGTTTTCACTCCTGTTGCCCAGGTTGGAGTGCAATGGCGCGATGTCTCACTGCAACCTCTGCCTTCTGGGTTCAAGTGATTCTCTTGCCTCAGCCTCCCAAGTAGCTGGGATTACAGGCATATGCCACTAATTTTGTATTTTTAGTAGAGACGGCATTTCACCATGTTGGTCAGGCTGGTCTTGAACCCCTAACCTCAGGTGATCCACCTACCTCGGCCTCACAAAGTGCTGGGATTACAGGCGTAAGCCACTGCACCCGGCCTAGGTTCTTTAATTAATATATTTTTGGTATTTATGTAAAATGTTTTTCTTTTTCTCCCCCAGAAACTCGTTTTCATCTTCTTGGTTTCATCTTAATACCAACGTCATGTCTGGTTCTAATGGTTCCAAAGAAAATTCTCACAATAAGGCTCGGACGTCTCCTTACCCAGGTTCAAAAGTTGAACGAAGCCAGGTTCCTAATGAGAAAGTGGGCTGGCTTGTTGAGTGGCAAGACTATAAGCCTGTGGAATACACTGCAGTCTCTGTCTTGGCTGGACCCAGGTGGGCAGATCCTCAGATCAGGTGAGCAAATAAGACAGCGTTAGCTGGGAATAAGACTTTTAGAGAAGGTAATGGTTTTATTTGTAAAGTATCTTTTTGACACCTGAAAATAATTTCAATCTATGCTTAGCTGTGTTATAACTCAGTTTCCACATTTGCTTGAATTCTTGCCAAAGATAAACAGTTCATATTTGTTTATTCTTTTGGGGGTTTTATGAGGATACTTCCAAATAGTTAAATCTGTTTTGATTTGAAATAACAAATAGCATCAGCTATGTGTTATGAAATAACAGCTGGTACTGTTATATTTGTTTTGAAATAACAGCTGATGGTATTTGTTTTCATGTGTTCTATTTGGGTTATCAATAGAATATCCTTTGTGGTTATTTTCCAACATAGCTAGACTTGTGAAAATATTTTTCGGAAAATTCTCCAGGTTACTAAGAACAGGATGATGATAAACCAGTGTGAAAAAATAGAAAAGGGTTGGATAAAGGGGAGTGAGAGGGGGAGAATGAGAGAGAAGGGGCTCTCACTAAATTCATAGAAGTGCCGCATTGATTAACATTTTATGTTTATGTTTCTTTTTTATTTTCCAGCTTTATTGATATATGATTGACAAGTAACTATATATATTTAAGGTGTACAATGTGATATTTTGACATACATATACATTGTGAAGTGATTACAACAATCAAGCCATTTAAAATAATCTTACATGGTTACCTTTTTTGTGTGTGTAGTGAGAAGAGTTGAGATCCACTCTCAGCGAGTTTCAAGTATACAATACTGTATTATTACTATTTTTGAGACTGGTGCTCTCTCTCTCTGTCACCCAGGCTGGAGTACAGTGATGTGATCACAGCTTGCTCCAACCTTGAACTCCTGGGCTCAGGTGATTCTCCTGCCTCAGCCACCTGAGTAGCTAGGACTATGGGCATGTTCCACCATACTTGGCTAATTTTATTTTATTTTTAAGTAGAGATGGGGTCTCACTGTATTGTCCAGGCTGGACAAGAACAGTATTATTAACTGTAGTCACCACACTGTGCATTAGATCTCTAGAACTTACTCATTTTGCATAACTGAAACTTTGTACCCTTTGACCATCATCTCCCCATTTTTCCCATCCCTTTATGTTCCTTTTCTAACCCAGGGTGGAGTGCAGTGGTGTGATCATAGCTCACTGCAGCCTTGATCTCCTGGGCTCAAGTGATCCTCCCACTTCAGCCTCCTGAGCAGGTGGGACTACAGGTGTGTGCCACCATGCCTGGCTAACTTTTAAATTTTTAGCAGAGAAGAGTTCTCACTGTATCATCCAGTCTGGTCTCGAACTCCTGAGCTCAGGTGATCCTTCTGCCTTGGCCTCTCAAAGTGCTGGGATTACAGGCATGAGCCGGCACGCCTGGTGATTTTTTTAAAAGGGTGAATCTCTAGAGTCCCAAGGGCATTGCAGCTCTGGTTTTATAATTTCATGGTTTTTATCATTTAATTCTTTTTATTTGCATGTTAGATGGCAGATTGGCTAGAAGTCTTAAGAAAATGTATGGATCATTGAAATTGGAAATTATTCCCAAACAGACCACAGATATTTCTTTGCTCACTCAATGGAATTAAAGCAAGAAAAAAGTGAAACCTGTTTCAGAACTGCCCATGAACTATCCAGTGCTATGTAACTCTTTATTCACTGTCAGTGCAATTATGGCAGGGATTTTATAGTGGTGAGGAGAGTAGTTTAGTTATGTCTGTTTAAAAATGTTTTTGTTGGGCCAGGCACAGTGGCTCACGCCTGTAATCCCAGCACTTTGGGAGGCCGAGGCAGGCGGATCACTTGAGGTCAGGAGTTTGAGACCAGCTTGGCAAACATGATGAAACCCTGTGTATACCAAAAATATAAAAAATTAGCTGGGTATAGTGGCATGTTCCTGTAGTCCCAGCTACTCAGCAGGCTGAGGCAGGAGAGTCGCTTGAATCTGGGTGTTAGAGGTTGCAGTGAACCAAGATAATGCTACAGCATTCCAGCCTGGGTGACAGAACGAGACTCCATCTCAAAAAAAAAAAAAAAAAAAGAAAGAAAGAAAAAATAATTTTTTTTGTGGCATGATACAAATATAGTAAAGTGCACATTTCTTTATTTTTATTTTATTTATTTATTTTTCGAGATGGAGTCTCGCTCTGTCGCCCAGGCTGGAGTGCAGTGGCGCCATCTCGGCTCACTGGAAGCTCCACCTCCTGGGTTCACGCCATTCTCCTGCCTCAGCCTCCCGAGTAGCTGGGGCTACAGGTGCCCACCACCATGCCCAGCTAATTTTTTGTATTTTTTTAGTAGAGATGGGGTTCCACCATGTTAGCCAGGATGGTCTTGATCTCCTGACCTTGTGATCTGCCCACCTTGGCCTCCCAAAGTGCTGGGATTACAGGCGTGAGCCACCATGCCTGGCTGTAAAGTGCACATTTCTTACATGTGAAGGTGTGCAGCTCAGCAAAATTTTACATTTACATAGCTCTGTAAACCACTGCCCAGATCAAGATCTAGAACATTTCCAGCATAGTATGTCTGTTTTTAATTTACATCATATTTATTATGCAGCTTGTGGGGCAAATTCACTGCTTTGTGGGTTTACTCTGATAAGAATATTAATCAGTGTGCATTTGAAGAAATTTAAATTATTTTGAAATAGTAGAAACATCATCAGAAGGAATCTTATTTTTGGAATTACATGGGAGCAAATAGTTTTCATATTGTGCCCACAAACAATTCCTTCTTGCTAATAGACCTTCTTGTAGCATGAGGTAGGAGCTCTAGCTCTTCTGCTGGTAGTCCTTCCTGGAGGGGTTAGTAAGTTTAATAATAATATATATCTTTGTAATGTGTGGTGTTTTGGTTAAAACTTTTTTTTGCCTTAAAAATTGTTTTGAAGGAATAAGATGGATTTGTGAAAAAAAAAAAAAAACTAACCCTTAAAAATTTATTGTTTCAGGAATACTTCTTATGGATAACAGATTGACTTTCATTATTAAGCTGTTGGTAGTTTTGAATCATTATTTCTTATTTTACATTGGTATTCTCATTACAGTGAAAGTAATTTTTCTCCCAAGTTTAACGAAAAGGATGGGCATGTTGAGAGAAAGAGCAAGAATGGCCTGTATGAGATTGAAAATGGAAGACCGAGGTAGGTACTGGGAGCAGAGCATCTTACAATAATGAGTCACCAAAAAGTAGAAAAGATAGTTCATATTTATCAAATCCTTGTATGTGCCAGATGTTGTACAAATTTATTTACATATGTGATGTAATTAAATCTGCACAATAACCCTGTTGGTGGATATTTTTAATTGAATTTTACAGATAAGGGAAGAGAGTGTAAGCAATTTGTATACAGCTAGTAAGTGGCAGAGGCAGCGTTTGAATGCATCTTTTTGTAATTGTATCTTGGAAACAGAAATAATTGAATACATTAACAGAAAGAAAAATTGTTCAGCAGATATTTATTAAATGGTATAGTATCTTAAAGTAAGAATTTATCCAAACATGTAAGAGTAAAAATAAAGATAACCCAATAATTCGGGTCTTTCTATACTTTTTAAAAAATGATTTTCCTATACAACTCAAAAATTATCCATTTTCCTTAAGATATTATAAAAGTGTATCAGCCTGTTCTCACAGTGCTATACAGACATACCTGGCCGGGCGCAGTGGCTCACGCCTGTAATCCCAGCACTTTGGGAGGCTGAGGTGGGCGGATCCCCTAAGGTCAGGAGTTTAAGACCAGCCTGACCAACATGGAGAAACCCCATCTTTACTAAAGATAAAAAATTTAGCCAGGCGTGGTGGCGGGCACCTGTAATCCCAGCTACTCGGGAGGCTGAGGGAGGAGAATTGCTTGAACCGGGAGGCGGAGGTTGCGGTGGGCTGAGATTGCGCCACTGCACTCCAGCCTGGGCGACAGAGCGAGACTCCATCTCAAAAAAAAAAATAGACATACCCAAGACTGGGTAATGTATAAGGGAAAGAAGTTTAATTAACTTACAGTTCTGCATGGCTGGGGAGGCCTCAGGAAACCTACTGTCATGGTGGAAGGCAAGAGAGAAGCAAAGGTACATCTTACATGGCAACAGGTGACAGAGAGTGAATAAGTAAAGGGGGAAGAGCCCCTTATAAAACCATCAGATTGGCCAGGCACAGTGGCTCACACCTGTAATCCCAGCACTTTGGGAGGCCAAGGCGGGTGGATCACCTGAGATCAGGAGTTGAAGACCAGCCTGGCCAATATGGCAGAACCCTGTCTCTACTAAAAATACAAAAATTAGCTGGGCTTGGTGGCGGGTACCTGTAATTCCAGCTACTCGGGAGGCTGAGGCAGGAGAATCGCTTGAACCCAGGAGGCGGAGGTTGGAGTGAGCCAGGATTGTGCCGCTGCACTCCAGCCTGGGCAACAGAGTGAGACTCCATCTCAAAAAAACAAACAACAAAAAAACCATCAGCTCTCATGAGAACTCACTCACTATCATGAGAACAGCATGGAGAAACCGTCCCCCATGATCCAGTCACCTCCCACCAGGTTCTGCCCTCAATTTTCGAGAATTAAAATTTGAGGTGAGATTTGGGTGGAGTCACAGAGCCAAATCATATTAAAAAGTTAGAAAGAAGTGTAAAAATTAGCATGTACCAAATAAAACCAAAGAAGGATCACAGATTTGAAATCATGGTTATCATCTTATAAAAATGTTACACTTTGTATTCTTGGTTCCTGTAAGACAAGGAAATGGTAGTACTCCTCTCATCTCAACCTGGTCCTTCAGTTTTGCTAAGTTCTTTCTTTGGTCATAACTTATTCACCTTTCTATGTTATTGAGTCTTTTTAAGTCAAATTCTCCTTGCATTTGACTGATTCCTTAGGTTCTTTTATAGATACAATTATAAAAATATTATGAAAAGATAGGTAAGATATATAGATGGAAATGCAAGATAGATTGTTCTTTTAATGAAGTCTCTTTGACTAATAGAAACTAACTTTAGCTTGCCTGAGCAAAAGTAAAATTTATTTTAAGGCTATGCTATAGGAATGTCTCAAGGAGCTCAAAGCAAAAATGCAGCTAACTTGAGGAAAAGATGGAATTCGAAATCCATCAGGACTCTCTCTCTGCTTCATTTATGCTTTTGTCTATATTTTTGGCTTATTACTCTCTCTTTGCGAATAACCATCTGTGCTTTTCAGGTTTTAATATAGTCTGTGTGTCCATTCCAGTTTCCTGTTTCCAAGTTATGGTCTTGGTCATCTATACAAACTAATCTGTCTCTTTATGGTGGCCTTGATCACTTGTGTTCAGGGGTGTGTGGTTACATGGAATAAAATATGGTTGCAGGCCGGGCATGGTGGCTCACGCCTGTAATCCCAGCACTTTGGGAGGCTGAGGCGGGTGGATCGTGAGGTCAGGAGTTTGAGACCAGCCTGACCAACATGGTGAAACCCTGTCTCTACTAAAAATGCGAAAATTAGCTGGGCGTGGTGGTGCATGCCTGTAATCCCAGCTACTCAGGAGGCTGAGGCAGGAGAATTGCTTGAACCCGGGAGACGGAGGTTGCAGTGAGCTGAGATCATGCCACCGCACTCCAGCGTGGGTGACAGAGTGAGACTCTGTCTCAAAAAAAAAATATGTATATATATATATGGTTGCTGGCCACTCTGCCCCTCCTCCTGTGAATTTGGAAAGAATTATTGTCAGCTGGGCAGGTGTCTTGTCTCTTCTTTCTGTTGCTATTTGCAAGTCTTGCTGAAATATTTCTGAGTCTAGTACAAAAACAATATAAAAATTCATTCAATTTTAATAACAGTCACTGGGAAAAAAGAATAAAAAGAGATGGCAAAAAGGGAAATTTTGGCAAGTTGTTTATTTACTTTCATATAGTGGGAGGGCAAGAGATACAGCACCATGAAGTAGAATTACATGTTAGAACATTTTAGTAGTACATAATGAAAGTTGAACATTTAAAGAATGTTTACTGAAATAAAATGACACAGGCATGAGTATTGATAGGTTTCTCTGACAAATTTTTAACACTGGATTGTGGCATCAGGTTAAATAGTTGGCATTTTTATAAAATTGTATTTTAGTCTACTTGAAATCTATGAAATAGTAATACTAATACCTTATCATATGCTACAAATATATATTATTGATAATAAAAATCCAGAAACCATTGAGGAAAAAGGGATTTAATGTAACAGGGACAATTTTAATAGGAAGGGTTGTAGGAGAGTAGAGTAGGAAATGAGAATAATGAGAAAGTGAAGAGAGATCTAGGTGTTCCAGAAGAAACCAGGAACGTTCCAGTTTGAATTTAGGAGTATAGGTGAAAACTGAAACAAATCATCACATTGTAGAACCACTTGGGGTATGAGAGCCTCTTTCTGGATCAAGTTTAAAGCATATCACATGCGCAAAAGAAAAATTAAATAGCAGTGTCATGAAATACATGACTTCAGCACCAGATATGTGATAGTTCCATTGGATTTGTAAGGACTTATTCTGTCTTACTGCTTATGTTCTCTTCTTTTGGGTTATATCAAATCAGGTTAAAAAGATGAACACATTCAATTGATTTTATGCTTTTTTTGTTTTTCCAGAAATCCTGCAGGACGGACTGGACTGGTGGGCCGGGGGCTTTTGGGGCGATGGGGCCCAAATCACGCTGCAGATCCCATTATAACCAGGTAAGAACCAATAAAAAGCATATCAGTAGCAAAGAGCTAAGTGATAGAAAAATTGCAGACTGTAGCTATGTTTGTGTATATATGTATACCTGTGTGTATATACATATGTATGTGTTTGTATATATATGTATGTATACAGTCATGCATTGCTTAACAATGAGGACACGTTCTGAGAAATGCATTATTAGGTGATTTTGTTGTTGTGTGAACATCATAGAGTATATTTACATAAAACTAGATTGTGTAGGTGCAATTGTATAAGTAGTATACACCTATGCCATATGCTATAGCCTATTGCTCTTAGGCTACAAGCCTGTACAGCATGTTACTGTACTGAATACTATAGGCAACTGTAACACAATTGTAAGTGTATGTATATCTAAACATAGGGAAAGTAGGTAAAAACACGATATAAAAGATAAAAAACCATACACCTGTTTTGGGCACTTACCCTGAATGGAGCTTATAGGACTGGAAGTTGATCTGGGTGAGTCAGTGAGTGGTGAGTGAACATGAAAGCCTAAGACATTACTGTCCCCTATTGTAGAGTTTATAAACACTGCATACTTAGGCTACACCAAATTTATAAAAAATATTTTCATTTTGTTAATAATAAATTGACCTTAACTTACTGTAACTTCTTTATAAACTTAAACATTTTTAAAACCTTTTTGGCTTTTTTATAGTAACAGCTTAAAACACATCATGCAACTGTACAAAAATAGTTTCTTTTGTTACCTCCTTATTCTGTGCACTTTTTTTAATTTAAAAAAAGTTGTTTCTTCTGTTTGTTTTTAAACTGTTTGTTAAAAACTAAGACACAAACACACACATTAGCCTATGGCTATACAAGGTCAGGATCATCAATATCACTGTTTTCCACCTCCACATCTTGTCCCACTGGAAAGTTGTCAGGGGCAGTAATATGCATGGAGCTGTCATCTCCTATGATAATAACGCCTTCCTCTTGAATATCTCCTGAATGACCTGCCTGAGGCTGTTTTACAGTTAACTTTTTTTATAAGTAGAAGGAATATACTCTAAAATAATGATAAAAAGTACAGTATAGTAAATACATAAGCCAGTAACATAGTCACTTATTATCAAGTATTATATACTGTATGTGATTGTACTCTTATGACTGGCAGTGCAGTAGGTTTGTTTACGTCAGCATCACCACAAGCATGTGAGTAATGCATTGGGTGAGGATATTGACAATGGCTTATGACATCATTAGGTGATAGGAATGTTTCAGCTCCATTGTAATCTTATGGGACCACCGTTGCATATGTGGTCTGTTATTGACCAAAACATCATTATGTGGCACGACTATACACACACACACATGCCTGCACATGTATATTACATAAATATGCATGCAGATGTATATATAATTGATATTTTAAAGAGACTTTATATAAAATCATAGTGATGCGATGTAAGTATAAAGCTGTACTTATATGAGTAGGTTAGGCATTATATAAAGAAGGTAAATTCTATTTATGCATCTATTTATTGAACATCTATTTGTTCTCAGCATTGAGTAGGCACTTTGGTAAATATAAAAAATTCTAAGAATCCTAAGCTGGTTCTCTGTCACTGAAGAGCAATGGCTTTAGTTGCAAGATGGAAAATGTGAAGTAAGAAAACATGTTAAATGTGATCAAATAATATGGGTGATTCAGGATGCTTTAGAAGATTAGAAGATTGGATGTGGGTCATGACTGTGGTAAACTAGTGCACCCAAGAAAGGCTTTATAAAGCAGGTAGATTTGAGCTGAACTTGAACCTTGGGTAGGGAGACAGCAGGAAGCCTAAGAAAAGGGTTTGTAGTAATATCTGAGTAGAGACCAGCTTGGTTGAAACAGAATATTCTTGTAGAAGAGTAGTGGGCGAAAAATGAAACTTAAAGTTAATTTTTGTGCAGTTTTATTGTGGAGAATTTTAAATGCCAAAGTTAGGAGTATGGACTGGAGCCATTGAAGGTTTCAGAACGGGGGAGAGGCATTCTCTTCCGAGGCAGACCTATGTGGTAAGCCAAATCATATTCAAGTCTCTTGATGAGCATGAATCAGAATTAAGAAGGTCAGTGAATCTAATGTTTAGATATGCTTAGCTATCTCCACAGGAATCATCTTTCTAATGTACCTGAAATATTGTCATATTTGTCATCCTTTTAATTTTTATTTTTTTACTTTTAGAATTTCTTTGCTGACCATCTGTCTCCCCACGTGGAATTGTCATGTTCTTTCTTTAAATAATGCAAATATCCTCATATTGTTACTTTCTTAGTTTTGATATTTTGGGGGCTTTTCTTCAAGGAGACTCTGTTTTTCTTTGATCTGAGATATAATAATAATTTGATAGTTTAACTCTTTATATATTTTTTTATTTTCAAGTTACTGGAAGAGGCACCCATTCTCACCCGGTCTTATTTTCTTACTTGCCCTCTTGATTCTCCTGCCAAAAAGGATCTTTACCCAACCCCAAATTTTATCTTCCCTCCATCCATCCATCCACTTACTCACCCATTCACCTACCTACTTACTTAACTACTGATCAGCCTACCTCTCCATCCACATACTGTTAGAACCTCTATGGTTTAAATGAGATGGAAAGAGTTAATAAAAAAAATATTAATGGCAGTGTTAGTTTCTGATTTTGGTGAAGCTGGCTAAAAACAGGAAGGTATGAAATGTTTGAAACAGGAATGTAATGCTAGTAAGGGGACAAGAGCAGAAAAGGGAAGCCAGAGTTTTGAAGGTTAGAATCTAGTTAGCTTATCTTTATCTATGGTGGACCCAATAGTGGCTGGGAGTATACATGGTGATTGTGTATCAAGTTGTTTTGAAATGGTAGACTTTTTTAGCTTAACTTTGTCATACAGATAAGAGAACTGAAGGCTTAGAGATGGTCCGAGGCTATAAGAGAGCCCACAGGTGGCAGAGTCTGGCTTTCAACTGTACTCTTAAGTTGATGTTCTTTGTTATCTCAATAATGCATTAATTAATAATTAATAGTAATGCATTAATTAATAAATTGATGAGTTCCTCTAAATAGATGAGAGGCAGCAGAAATGGAACAGAGAAGAATGAAAGATGTTGAAGGAAGATTCAAGCCTTAGATGAATTGTTAAAAGTATTCTACTTTTAGACTAGTCTATTCCAGGCATCCTGTCAGTGCTATCATTAGTTTTTCTATTTGTTTTTCACAGAAGCCCCTCCAAGTAGGTATTGATATATCTATTTTGAGGATTTGAAAATAGAGACTCACTGGGGTTAAGTTACTTGCCTAAATGTTGTAGATCTGACATCTGAATCAGGGGTAAGTGGCTTTAAATACTGTACTTTTTCTGTTACACCACTAGTGAGTCTTTACTATACTGTACTTTTTATCATTGTTTTAGAGTATATTCATTCTACTGGAGAATCACCCAGGCACTTTCAGAGCCAAGATTTCACCCCCCTTTCTTTCAAGTATGCACTTCATGATTCAAAACAGCGTTGTTCAGGATTTCATAAACTTTTTCAGAAGCTCCGGGGCAGGTGTTAAATTTTCGGATTCCCAGGCATCTCTCCTAGAGATTGTCCAGGTACAATTATCAAAAGTTTCTTCAGATCCTCTAGAGTCAAAATGAGTTGGGAAGTGTTAATATATTATTGTGAATAAATTCAGGTCAAACAATTGATGACAATTTCATTTTCTGTTCACTTTTGGTTAAAGACAGGAAGGTACATACTGTTAGAACTGGGGAGGGAATAGCAATAGGGCATAGAAATATTACTGATATTCAGTAAATGTTTATTAGGTTCGTCAATTAAAATGATGTATTAGTTCTGTTAGATCAAGAAATTTTGTTTTAAAATTGGTGATAATGTATTTAATACTAATAAATAATATAGCAAGAAGCTACTCTGCTTAAAATCCATACATTTGTCCTTCAGAATAAAATCTGAGAACATATGCAAGCTGCTGATCATCTCTCTGATCCTGCCTTCTCCCCAGTAGCATCTCTCTCTTTTTTTTTTTTTTTGAGATGGGTCTTGCTATGTTACCCTGGCTGGTCTTGAACTCCTGATCTCAAGCAGTCCTCCCACCTCGGCTTCCCAAAGTGCTAAGATTACAGGCAGGAGCCACCACACTACACCTGGCCAGTGGCCAGCATCTCTCTCTATTCTGTTTCTCATCCTTGTTTCATAGTCACAACTGGCTGGCTGAAGAGCAGTAGCTGTATTGAGTCTTTGTTTTCCCAGCTCCTTGCATGTGATGTGTAGTAGGTGCCAGTAAATGTTTATGAGTGAACATAGCCACCATTTGCCTTCTTATCTTTCCTTTTTTTTTTTTTTTTTTTAAGACAGATTCTAGCTCTGTCGCCCAGGCTGGAGTGTAGTGGTGCTATCTCGGCTCACTGCAACCTCCAAGTGATTCTCCTGCTTCAGCCTCCCAAGTAGCTGGGACTATAGGTGCACACCACCCCGCCCAGCTAATTTTTTGTATTTAGTAGAGACAGGGTTTCACCATGTTGGCCAGGATGGTCTTGATCTCTTGACTTCGTGATCTGCCTGCCTCGGCCTCTCAAAGTGCTGGGATTACAGGCGTGGGCCACTGCTCCTGGCCGTCTTTCCTCTTATCTAATTAGTGTAAACATTCTGCTTGTTCAGTTTAAGTAGATAGTATAGTAATTAAGAACACAGATTCTGGAACCAGATTGTCCAGGTTCAAAGTTGTGTTTACGCCCTTGTTAACACTGTAGTCTTGGGGAAGTTACCTAACTTTTCTGTGCCTCATTTTCCATATCTGTAAAATAAAGATAATAAAACAACTATGTTATAGGGTTGTTTTGAGGCTTAAATGGATAAATACATTAAAGCACTTAGAACAGTGTTTTATATATATATAATAAATGCTATCTAAATGGCTTTTAGAAAATAAAAATAAAATCCATACTGTCTTCTGTCCTGTCATCATCTTTTACCTGGATCATAGTAGTAGCCTCCCAGCTGATCTTCTTGAGTCCAGTCTTGCTTTCCTCCAGACCAACATACATGCTTTTGTCAAAGTGAGTGAGCTTTCTAAAATACAAACTGGTTATGGTTTTACCCTGCTTAAAAACACTCTCTGGCTCTCTAAGTAAACGAATTAGATGAATCTTGTCGTATAAGCCTGTTGCCCACTTTTCTGGTCTATCTTTTCCCTCACTGATGCCCATGGTGCTAGACCCCATATGAACATTCAGTTTCTTGAACACATTATTTTATTTTATGACTTTGTTTCTTGCTTATGTATTCCCCTTTCTGGCATTTTAAAAACAGATGTGCCCTCTTGTACTAATTATTATTTCATTTCTGTTTAATATACTCATCAAACTATCACCCTTCTGCTAATTTAGAGCCACTGCTAGACTATGAGCTCTTTCATGGGAGGAACTAGATATGGTAGATATGGTAGTCAGCTACTATATAAGGAAATTTGGAAACTCATATGCATACTAATATTTTATTGGGTTTCATCCAGAGTAATACTTATATCATAGACCTTCTTTTTTGGTTTAGCATTGGAAGTTTTTTTTTTTTTTGTTTTGTTTTGTTTTGCCTGAGAGATCATTAGGACAATTCCTAAAATTGGGCTAGAGGTTGATATGGAGGTGAGGAAGGGGAAGGGGAGATTTATTAATATCAACATCTCTGGCAAAGAGAGTGTGGTTAGAAAAAGTGTATTCTGAAACTAACATTGCCTTGATACTTTCTACAAAACCCATAAGCAATTCAATTTAAAATATAAAATAAAAGGATAGAGTTTTTTTTGTTTATCAAATCAGAGGGCATAAAGATTGAGAAGCAGGGCCGGGTGGCTTACACCTGTAATTGCAGCACTTTGGGATGCCGAGGTGGGAGGATGGCTTGAGGCCAGGAGTTCAAGACCAGCTGGGTAACATAGCAGGAGACCCCATTTGTAAAACAAAAAAAATTAGCTGGGCATGGTGGCCCACGCCTGTAGTCCTAGCTACACAGGAGGCTGAGACAGGAGGATTGCTTGAGCCCAGGAGTTTAAGGTTACAGTGAACTATGATTGCACCACTGTACTCTAGCCTTGGTGACAGAGCAAGACCCTGTCTTTTTAAAAAAAAAAAAAAAAAGATTGAGAAGTACTGCTTTTGACACCAGCTAAACTGGGTCATATAATCTGCTTTTCTCTTAGCACAGGGTGAACTGTTAAAAGCAAATTTTTTTTTTTTTTTTTTTTTTTTGAGATGGAGTCTCACTCTGTCATCCAGGCTGGAGTGTAATGGCACGATCTTTGCTCACTGCAGCCTCTGCCTCCTGGGTTCAAGTGATTCTCCTGCCTCAGCCTCCTGAGTAGCTAGGACTACAGGCACCCATCATCATGCCTAGCTAATTTTTGTATTTTTGTAGAAACAGGGCTTCACCATGTTGGCCAGGCTGGTCTTGAACTGCTGACCTCAGGTGATCCACCCACCTTGGCCTCCCAAAGTGCTGGGATTTCAGGTGTGAGTCACCACGCCTGGCCCAAAGCAAATCTTACCATGCCTTTTTCACTACCAGTAATTTTTTTTTTCTTATTTTTAGATAGGCCCTCTCTCTGTCGCCCAAGCTGGAGTGTAGTGGCACCATCTTATCTCAGTGCAACCTTAAACTCCTGGGTACAGTGACCCTTCTGCCTCAGTCTCCCAAGTAGCTAGGACTATAGGTGCATGCCACTGCACCCAGCTAATTTTTTATTTTTTGTAGAGATGAGGTCTTCCGTTGTTGCCCATCCTGGTCTTGAACTCCTGAGCTCAAGCAATTCTCCCAAAGTGTTGGGATTACAAGTGCGAGACACTGCGCCTGGCAACTACCAGTAATTTTTAAAAGGGGATTCGTAAACTTATTTTTTAAAAAACTTTGATAACCTTTTCTTTAAATTCTATTCTGCTACTTCTTTTTTTGTTAATACTTTAAGTAGTAAAAATTGTTTATATCCTGAATTTTCATTACAGATAATGTAGTGTCTTTTATGTAATGTAGACATTTGTCCTGGTTTGTAACAGTGATGAATATAGAATATTTCCAGTAAAAATCAATAGTTTTAAATAAAACTAGCTGATTTGAGATAAATTTATATATACTCTGCTTTAAAGAAAAAGTCCTTGTAACTTTATCTCAAGTTTGAGATAGAACCTTAGTTTTTGTTGTAAATCCGTTATGATTTTATATTACTATTCACAGATGGAAAAGGGATAGCAGTGGAAATAAAATCATGCATCCTGTTTCTGGGAAGCATATCTTACAATTTGTTGCAATAAAAAGGAAAGACTGTGGAGAATGGGCAATCCCAGGGGTAAGCATTAAAATTAAATTAGTGTTTAAGTTCCTTTTAGTTGCTTTACTTACTACAGGGTTATTGTTTGTGAATCTTTTCTATTCCATTTTCCTCTATTCCTTCCCACTTCATTTAGTAATTCTTATGTTTTTCATCCCTGCATGAAGTGTCATTGTCAGCAACAAGTTTAGGATAATCCAAGACTGTTAGAATCTGCGTGTAATTCTGACACCTTTGGGAAATAACGTGGGCTTTGAAGTTAGATGTAGGTCTGTGTTCTGGCCGTTCTACTTGCAGCTGGGTGATTGGGAGTTCAGGCCCTCATCTTTAAAATAAAGAGATCTACTTCACAGGATTATTAGAGATCACATTTAATAGGCATTCATTATGTTGGGTCCCATTTCAGAATTTAACCTCCACTCCAAGCCCAAGGTAGTATTTTTAAGCACTTTTTGGTTGAATTCTGATAACTTTTGACAATATTTAAAAAATTAGCTTTTGTTATTTACTGTTCTGTGTAGTTTAAATAATTTCTATAATGTTATCAAGATGAGTATACTTTTGTTGGCTTGTAGTTTGAATTTATGGCAGTGGTATATTTGAAGTGGCCATTTATTTTTTATTTTTTATTTATTTATTTATTTTGAGACAGAGTCTCACTCTGTTGCCCAGGCTGGAGTGCATTGGCGCAATCTTGGCTCATTGCAACCTTTGCCTCCTGGGTTCATGCAATTCTTGTGCCTCAGTCTCCCAACGTAGCTGGGATTACAAGTGTGTGCCGCTATGCCTGGCTAATTTTTGTAATTTTAGTAGAGACAGGTTTCACTGCGTTGGCCAGGCTGGTCTCGAACTCCTGGCCTCAAGCAATCTGCCTGCCCCGGGGCCTCCCAAAGTGCTGGGATTACAGGTGTGAGCCACCACACCTGGCCTGAAGTGGCCGTTTAAAATGTTTATGTGTGTGGTAGAGGGTTTTATATTTTATACCATATTGTGAAATGGAGATAGTTTGATATGAGGATGACTCTTTATAAAAACATACAGTTGTCTGCAAGAATGTTTTTTTCTGTGTAGAATAAAAATGAGTGGAAATAAGGATCTCAGCCGACTCTGATAAAAGTTTAGGCTAATTTCTTTTTCTTTTTCTTTTTTTTTTTTTTTTTTTTGAGACGGAGTCTCACTCTGTTGCCCGGCTGGAGTGCAATGGCATGATCTCAGCTTACTGCAGCCTCCACCTCCTGGGTTCAAGCAATTCCCTGCCTCAGCCTCCCGAGTAGCTGGGATTATAGGCGACCACCACCACACCTAGCTAATTTTTGTATTTTTAGTAGAGACAGGGTTTCACCATCTTGGCCAGGCTGGTCTTGAACTCCTGACCTCGTGATCCACCCACCCTGACCTCCCAAAGTGCTGGGATTACAGGCATGAGCCACTGTGCTTGGTGAACTTTAGGCTAATTTCTATGAGCCAAATAGTCAAACTTCACTTAGGTTGAAAGCAATAACGTAATAATGATTTCATCATAGAATCTTGCATTTTTATTGTTATTTAAAATTCTTATCAGGAAACTGCTGTCATTGTTATCATTTTGACAGTTATTCATCTAATCAGTGTATTTTTAGTATCTTCCTTTTGTCAGCTAATATTTTAGACACTGAGAATACAACAGAGCAACATGAACAAATAACCTCTGTCTTTTGGTGCTCCCATTCCAGTTGGAGAGACAGATAATATAAGATACATAAGTTAAATATATCGCATGTTAGAAGGCAGTAAGTATTAAGAAACAAAAGCAAGGTAGAGGACTAGGAAGTGTTTGAGAGTTTGCGATTTTAGACAGGGCAGTTAAGAGAAGACCTCCCTGAGGAGGTGCATGTTAGGTAACTATCTGAAGGAAATGAATTAGTGAACCATGCAGATATCTAGAGAAAAGCATCTTGGATAGAGATAATAGCAGGTACAAAGGCTCTCAGCGGGCAGCATGTTAGGCAGGTCCTGGGAACATTGAGGAGGTCAGTGTGGCTGGAATGGAATGAACAATGGGGGAAGAATCAATGTGCTGTGTTATTTCTAACCTCCAGTCCTTTTTCCTTAGTTCGAGTTTGGCAAGTACCAGGAAATTGGTTTGATTGCCATAGGCTAACCTTGGACCAATCACTGTGGCCAAATACATGAGGTATCCTTATTGGCTCCTTCTACTAGCAACAGATGGTTTAGAGAACAGTGTATCACAGAGAAATGGGGATCACTATTATAGGCAGATTGAATAATAAATGTTCACTCTACTACTCAATAAATATTTGTTGAACAAATCAAAGCTGATCCCTTTTTTCAAAATTTTTAATGTGACTCTTAGGGGATGGTGGATCCAGGAGAGAAGATTAGTGCCACACTGAAAAGAGAATTTGGTGAGGAAGCTCTCAACTCCTTACAGAAAACCAGTGCTGAGAAGAGAGAAATAGAGGAAAAGTTGCACAAACTCTTCAGCCAAGACCACCTAGTGGTAAGAAATAGTGTTTCTGGGAGGGATTTAGTTCTGTGGATTGATGAAAATGACTTAAAAGTTGACCTGGAAATCTGTATGTCCTTCTCTAAATAAAGTGGAATACTTGTATATTTAAAATATATTCACAAAAACAAATTACAGATCTTCACTGTAAATAGGTTTCTATTTAAAGTTTTATAGCCCAACTTTAGGCTATATAGGCTAAAATGATATATATTTAGTTCATTTATATCATTTATTATAATAACTTTTTTCTTCTTAGTTTTTCTTTCTTTTTTTTTTGAGATGGAGTCTCGCTCTGTCACCCAGGCTGGAGTGCAGTGGCACGATCTTGGCTTACTGCAACCTTCACCTCCCAGGTTCAAGCAATTCTCCTGCCTCAGCCTCTGGAGTAGCTGGGATTACAGGCTTCCACCACCACGCCCGGCTAATTTTTGTATTTTTAGTAGAGACAGGGTTTCACCATGTTGGCCAGGCTGGCCTTGAACTCCTGACTTCAGGTTACCTGCCCGCCTCGGCCTCCCAAAGTGCTGGGATTACAGGTGTAAGCCAACACGCCTGGCCTGTAAACTATTTTCTTTCACGTTGAGTACCCATCCAACAGAAAGCTTTTTGTATGTGCATGAATTCAGCTCTCTCTGAAAGAACATTTACATTTTAAATTATGTCATACAGAGATTTTTCTGGTTGATAATCATTTAAGTCTCATGTCTGTTTTGTCCATATACCCTCTGTGATAGGGTCTTGCTCTGTTGTTCAGGCTGGAGTGCAGTGGTGTTATGGCTCACTGCAGTTTTGACCTCTTGGGCTCCTGTGATCCTCCCACGTCAGTCTTCTGGGTAGCTGGGACCACAGGCAAACACCACCGCACTGGGCTAATTTTTTGTTTTTTGTTTTATAGAGATGGGGTTTTACCATGTTGTCCAGGCTGGTCTTGAACTCCTGGGCTGAAGGATCCCCCCACCTCGACCTCCCAAAGTGCTAGGATTACAGGTGTGAGCCTGGCATTCCGTGCTTTTAAAAAAATACCTTACAAGGTATATGCACACTAATAATAAGAAAATAACAGAGTTTTTTTTTTTTTTTTTTTTGAGATGAAGTCTCGCTCTTGTCCCCAGGCTGGAGTGCAATGGCGCGATCTCGGCTCACTGCAACCTCTGCCTCCCAGGTTCAAGTGATTCTCCTGCCTCAGCCTCCAGAGTAGCTGGGATTACAAGCATGTGCCACCATGCCTGACTAATTTTTGTATTTTTAGTAGTGACGGGGTTTCACCATGTTGGCCAGGCAGGTCTTGAACTCTTGACCTCAGGTGATCCGCCTGCCTCGGCCTCCCAAAGTCCTGGGATTACAGGCGTGAGCCACCGCACCCGGCCTTTTTTTGGTCAGTTTTTATTTGGATTGCTTGTTTTCTTTTCAGAATTGGGATTTAGTTATTTATGTTGTCCAGATTTTTTTGAGTTACGTTTGTGCTAGATGAATAGATCCAAATATCTTCATATATTAATAGCTTAAGTAGTAATCTTTAGTTTTATTTATAGATCTCCTTTGTTTAACTAGAAGAATCTACCTTTGTATTTCAGAAACTATAATCACAGAAAAATACTTAAGTGATGGACTCTTAAAAAATCATATTGCCCAAATTTGACTGTTCTCAGATTCTGAAATTAGAGTTTGAAGTGTTGAGGGTTTCATGATTTATTTATTTGTTTTGAGACAGTGTCTGGCTCTGTCACCAGGCTGGAGTGCAGTGATGCGATCTCGGCTCACTGCAACCTCTGCCTCACGGGTTCATGCGATTCTCCTGCCTCAGCCTCCTGAGTAGCTGGGACTACAGGTGTTCTCCACCATGCCCAGCTAATTTTTGTGTTTTTAGTAGAGACGAGGTTTCACCATGTTGGCCAGGATGGTCTTGATCTCTTGACCTCATGATCCGCCCACCTCCGCCTCCCAAAGTGCTGGTATTACAGGCATGAGCCACCACGCCTGGCCTGAGGGTTTCATGATTTTTAAAGCTGCCTCAAAAGAGAATATTGTTCTTTGGGAAATTTGAAACAAGCACATGAAGTACTACATTAAAAGTTTTATGATATTTACATTTCTTTCTTTTTTTCTTTCTTTCTTTCTTTTTTTTTTTTTTTGAGACAGAGTCTCGCTGTGTTGCCCAGGCTGGAGTGCAGTGGCGCGATCTTGGCTCACTGCTACCTCCACCTCCTGGGTTCAAGTAATTTCTCCTGTCTTAGCCTCCCGAGTAGCCGGGACTACAGGCACCTACCACCATGCATGGCTAATTTTTTTTGTATTTTTAGTAGAGACAGGGTTTCACCTTGTTGGTCAGGCTGGTCTCGAACTCCTGACCTCAGGTGATCCACCCGCCTCAGCCTCCCAAAGTGCTGCGATTACAGGCGTGAGCCACCGCGCCCGGCTATTTACATTTCTTTAAAAAAATTTTGATAGAAACACATAATGTCAAATTTACCATCTAAACTGTTGAAGGTACAGCTCAGTAGCATTAAGTATGTTCATGTTGTTGGGCAACAGGATATTTACATTTCTGATGCTAGTGAAGGTAACATGCTCTGCTGTACTCACTACACCTTGGACTTTTAAAAAATTTGTCTTCTTTTGAAAATAGATATATAAGGGATATGTTGATGATCCTCGAAACACTGATAATGCATGGATGGAGACAGAAGCTGTGAACTACCATGACGAAACAGGTAACTTTATATTTATTAAACTGGCTGGGATTAAAGGATCAATTTAAGCCATTAGCCCACTAAGGCATGATTAAATCTGGACTATTTAGCATCTTAAACCAATTAACTGTTGATTGTAGGACTGTAGTTATATGAAAGCAAAATTGTTGGTATTAAAGGAATACATAGAAGAAATCTTCAAAACTTTTATCACCAGTGACTAAATTTTCTTTAATCCATTGGTAACATTTGAAATTAAGGATGAAATTATGGGCTAAAATGATATGCTTTAAAGATGTCAGATTATTTATTGAGTATAGTTCCCTTTTTTTGCAAAACAAAAGCAACTGGGATTTGGGTAGGAAGTATGGCAATGATAAAGGAAATGGGATTTATATCTTACTATTTCAAATATTTTTATAATAATCTTGGATTGTTAATACACAAAGCAATAACAAAAAATTCCAAGTACTGAAAAAATTTTAAATGAATGCTGTTTCTGGTGTATGGAATTTAAAATTTTATGAGGAGGGTCAAACCTGTTATTACAGAAGGAGAAAGGAAAAATCTGCTGTCTTAAAAATTAATTTGGTCTTAATGTACACATTGAATGGCTCCCTTGAAACATATTTTATTGCTAAATTTGATTTGTTTTTATTTGTAGCATAAAAGTGGGGGCACCATGCTAGAGAAATGAAATGAATGTTCCACTCATAGTTCTTTCTGAGCTGTGTAACCTTGTACAAATCATTTGTCCTCTTGGACTCAGTTTTTTCACTTACAAAATGGGCTAGAACTAGATCTGTCATTTCCATATCCTGTGCTTTTGCTTGTTGAACTTGGAGGAAACTCCTGGGACCATTTTCTATTCCTGTATTTCCACTAAGGTGTATTAGAAGAGTTTATCCTAGTATGAAAACTTAGAAGAAATATGCAGATGTAAATTAGAAGCAGGTCTGTACAACTTTAGTACTGATAAATTTGTTAACTACTTTAAAGTTTTGGAGTTAAAAACAATGACTGATCCTCCAGAAGTTGATTATAGAGTTTATGGATTGTTCACTGTTTTTACCCTATCTTTTTCTCTCTTTAAACTTAAAAAATTTTGTTTTGATAATTCCAAAATCTCTGCCATATTTGAGTTCGGTTTTAATATTTGCTTTGTTTCTTTAGGCTATGTTTTTTGCCTTTTAGCGTGCTTTTAGTGCTTTTTTTTCTTTTTTCTTTTTTTTTTTTTTTAACCCCGAGATGGAGTCTTGCTCTGTCACCCACGCTGGAGTGCAGTGGCATGATAATGGCTCACTGCAACCTCTGCCTCTCGGGTTCAGGCGATTCTCCTGCCTCAGACTCTCAAGTAGCTGGTACTACAGGCATGCACCACCATGCCTGGCTAATTTTTGTATTTTTAGTAGAGATGGGGTTTCACCATGTTGGCCAGGCTGGTCTCAAACTCCTTACTTCAGGTAATCCACCCACCTTGGCCTCCCAAAGTGCTGGGATTACAGTCATGAGCCACTGCGCCTGGCTGTAGTGCTTTTTTGAAAATTGACCATGATATAACTTGTAAGGGAACTAAGGCAAATAGTTCTTTAGCGTGAGGTTTTATGTTTATCTGGCTAGGAGTTAGGCTGTGTTTTTTGTTTGCTGTCATTGTATGTGTCAGAGGCTAAAATTTCCTCTAGTTTTGGGTTTCCCTGGAGACTTATTAAATGAGGTCTGAAGCATGCCCTTCTTTCAGCTGTCTTCCCCTTTTATTAAACAGGAGTCCTATTGATAGATATGGTGGTAAATTCTAGAGGAAGGGGAATCATAGGAGAATATATGGTTAGATGTCAGTCTTTTAGTGAGCCTGTGGCCCTGGGCTGTGACCCTTCATATGTTATTCTCAGCTTCCCTCCTTCCTCCCCAATCCTTAGGAAAGACAGGAAATCCAGCGGGGGCTGGAGTTGGGTATTTCCTTTCCCTCAGGTTGCTTAGGGCTTGGTAAAATAGTTTTCCTTGAGGGCAGAGTGATCTGGGTGTATTTGAAATTGGTTACCTTTCCCCTCTCCATGTTAGAAAGGAGAGAGGATTTTTCTCCAGTCTTCACCTGGTGGCTTTCTTGGAGGTAAAGCTCACTAAAATGTAGGCCCCCTCTTCATACTGGTATGGCTGACCCCCTAGGAGATTTTATCTTTCAAGCTAGTCCAAAGGTCAGCTTTCAGCAGTTAGTTACCCTTTAAGTGTTCCTACCAGGTGCTGACTCCAGCGGTAGGCTTCTCTCCCTGGTCAGTTGTGATTCTCTGTATTTGCCTGTCTCTCCAGTTTTTGGTATGGCAGTGTGGTCTCTACTAAGAATACAAAAAAATTAGCTGGGCGTGGTGGCAGATGCCTGTAATCCCAGGTACTCGGGGGGCTGAGGCAGGAGAATCGCTTGTACTCAGGACGCGGAGGTTGCAGTGAGCCGTGATTGTGCCACTGCACTTCAGCCTGGTCAACAACAGCGAGACTCCATCTAAAAATAAATAAAATAAAATAAAATATTTAAGTAATGTTGCCTTGAATACTTTAATAGGCTTGTCTCTATTTCATCAGAATAAATTCTTCAAAGAGGAATTACTGGATTGCTTATTGTATCTTCAGTGCCTAGTACAGTCTGGCACACAAGATGCACTCTGATATTTACAGAATGAGTGCTTGTCAAAGAAAACTTACTTTTTAAAAGCTCTTGATAAACATTGCCAAATTTCCTACAGAAATATTCCATTTATATTCCCAGCAGTGATTGGGAGCACTTATTTTTTATTTTTTTGATAATTTAAATTTTTTTTTTTTTTTTTTGAGGTGGAGTCTCACCCTGTTGCCAGGCTGGAGTGCAGTGGTGTGATCTTGGCTCACTGCAACCTCCACCTCATGGATTCAGACAATTCTCTTGCCTCAGCCTCCCAAGTAAGCTGGGACTGCAGGCATGTGCCACCACTCCTGGCTAATTTTTGTATTTTTAGTAGAGATGGGGTTTCACCATGTTGGCCAGGCTGGTCTCGAACTCCTGACCTCAGGTGATCTACCCGCCTCAGCTTTGTTTATTTTTTTACATTTAAATCTCTCATCCCTCTTGGACTGATTTTGATGTAAGGTTTCATATTCATGTAATATAATCTCGTTTTTAAGGATAATCTTTTTAGAGAAAACTCTTTGTGTTTATCTAAAATTTAGGGACTTGGTTAAAATTTGGACATTTTGGAATACTCTAGTTTTTTTTCTTTTATTCATTCTGCTGACCAGGGATGGAATGGTCTAGTTTTTAATTCACTTGGCCGGCTAGTACAATGATGATATAAGATTATTTTAAATAAGAATACTTGACGACATAGATATGCTAAAACAGAAATGAGTTTTTCTTGGTGATGGTTTTTCTTTGGCAACCAGGTGAGATAATGGATAATCTTATGCTAGAAGCTGGAGATGATGCTGGAAAAGTGAAATGGGTGGACATCAATGATAAACTGAAGCTTTATGCCAGTCACTCTCAATTCATCAAACTTGTGGCTGAGAAACGAGATGCACACTGGAGCGAGGACTCTGAAGCTGACTGCCATGCGTTGTAGCTGATGGTCTCCGTGTAAGCCAAAGGCCCACAGAGGAGCATATACTGAAAAGAAGGCAGTATCACAGAATTTATACTATAAAAAGGGCAGGGTAGGCCACTTGGCCTATTTACTTTCAAAACAATTTGCATTTAGAGTGTTTCGCATCAGAATAACATGAGTAAGATGAACTGGAACACAAAATTTTCAGCTCTTTGGTCAAAAGGAATATAAGTAATCATATTTTGTATGTATTCGATTTAAGCATGGCTTAAATTAAATTTAAACAACTAATGCTCTTTGAAGAATCATAATCAGAATAAAGATAAATTCTTGATCAGCTATAACTTCTGTTTCATCTAGTTCTTGTTTGTCAATGCCTTCCCTCCCGCTCCCCATCTTCTGAGGCCTGAAGGATGTTCCTGCCACATCAAACTCCTTTAGGCAGAGTACCGCCACTGGATGTATAGTTTAATGTTTCATCTGATTTTTCTTTAAATTATTTCCTTCACATTTTGCTTCACATGATCTTGTTGAAGCTAATTTTGAAAATGGAAACTATGTTTTCTTGACTTTAGAAGCATTAGTTTTAAGAGGAAATTTCAGCCACTAGTCAATAGAGATCAAAATCAGTGAACAAGAGCTGATACTCTCATTTTCAAAAATTCTGAATTAAAAAAAGTCCAGGAAGTTAGTAATTTAAATCAGTATGTTCATTTCACTCTAGTGAAACTACTATATGTTGTAAATTAGTTAAAAATGGATGTTCAGAAAAGAATTGAAATCAGGACAAAAAATTACAGATGCTAGTGAGGTTGTAGAGAAAAAGGAATGCTTATACGCTGTTAGTGGGAGTGTAAATTGGTCCAACCATTGTGGAAGAGAGTGTAGAGAGTCCTCAAATATTTAAAGATATTTGACCCAGTAATCCCATTACTAGGTATATACCCGAAGGAATATAAATTGTTCTATTATAAACACATACTCACGTGTATGTTCATTGCTGCACTATTCACAATAGCGAAGACATGAAATCAACCTAAATGTTCATCAGTGATAGACTGGATAAAGACAATGTGGTATATGTACACCATGGAATACTATGCAGCCGTAAAAAAGAATAAGATCATGTCCTCTGAAAAGACATGGGTGGAGCTGGAGGCCATTATCCTTAGCAAACTAATGCAAGAACAGAAAACCAAACACTGCATGTTCTCTTATAAGTGAGAGCTAAATGGTGAGAACACATGGACATGGGAACAACACATTCTGGGGTCTATTGGAGGGTGGGAGGAGGGAGAGGATCAGGAAAAATAACTAATGAGTACTAGGCTTAATACCTTGGTGATGAAATTATCTGTACAACAAACCCTCATGACACAAGTTTACCTATGTAACAAACCTGCACATGTACCCCTGTACTTAACAACAAAATAAACACAAAGGAAAATGTTAGCCATGTGTGAATTTTAAACTTCTTGGTAGTCACATTAAAAATAAAAAGAAACAAGTAAAATGGTTTGTAATTATTTAATCCATTATATCCAAAATATCTTAATATGTGATCAATATATAATTATTAAGTAATTATTTTGGTTCTATAAAAACAGGAACAGAGGTGGAGGTCTCTGTGAGTTAGTGTTTTTTTGTTAGGAAAGAAATGTTAAAGATTGAAATAGATTTTTGAGAAAAGCATGGTTAATGTTATAAATCCCAGAGGAAAGGAGGGGGTTGGTGCTTTGGGGGTTTTTGGAAGCAAGGAAAAGGAAAGAAAAGTAGTACTGCCTTGTCTTAGTGGACATGTTTATCTCATTCTGGCTAAGGATCTCTGTTGGAAAGCCCTGTGATAGGAACTCCTATCCACCTAAGTAGGGTTGGGCTATAGCTGGAGCATCTCAGGAAAAGCTTTAGGGGAGACAGACATTATTGTTTTCTTTCCTTCAGATGTTTGAAAAAGATTAGGCTTCTGTAGCTAGAGAGCAGAATTACGGTTAAGGTAAAACAAAGTGTTGTTCTGTTTTTTGTTTCGTTTATTTGATGTCAGAAATTTTGGTGGTAAACCTGAATTGAACTGACAGGAGGCTTTTTTCCCCTTAGTTACGACTGTAGATTTTCCTGAAAAGCATTAGAATGTTTGATTTCAGGATACCTTGAACCCTTCTGGAGTAGTTATAAATAGGGCTTATGTATGTATTAACTTCTAAAAATCCATAAAATCCTGGTCCCTACGGTGAGTAATAAGGGATTGATACTTGATGAGGATGACCTGCTCAAGAGGTTAGATGGCCTTCCTGCATGGAAGAGTTGGCTTCTACTTTCACCATTTGGCAGGAAGAAATTGCTTCTTCCTATCACTGAATGGAGTTCTCCAAAATTGAAGCTACTTGTTTACAAAAGCTCTTTTAACAGTTTGAGCAATTTTCTGAAAATTTTGGCCTTTACTTGTGTGTCATAGTATTTTGAGACAGGGTCTCATTCTGTTGCCCGTGATAGCACCACTGGAGTGCAATGGTGCTCTTATGGCTCACTGCAGCCTCAACCTCCTGGGCTCAAGCAATCCTCCCACCTCAGCCTCCTAATTAGTTGGGACCACATGTGTGCACCACCACACCCAGCTAATTTTTTTATTTTTTTTTTGTGGAGACTGGAATTTCCCTATGTTGCCCAGGCTGGTCTTGGACTCCTGGGCTCAAGAGATCCTCCCACCCCAGCCTCCCAAAGTGTTGGGATTACAGGTGTGAGCCACCATGCCCAGCCTGTTTAATAGTTTTGATACATTTGAACTGCCATTAATAAAGACATTTGGTTATATTAAAGGTTTATTTAAAGTATGACTAAAGCCCATGGTCTAGATACATTCTTTATGGTTTTTTGGAGTTTTCACTGGAACATGCACAAAGTATGCAAAATTATAAAACTACCATCAACTATAGTTAAGATAGAAGTAGATACTCTTCTGATAACTGTAAATATCCAGCACCATCTATAATAGGGAAAAAACAAAATGTTAGTTTCAGATATTCCTAGAGGAAGATCTATCTGCTATATCACTAGGTAATATTCCCTTCATACTTATTTTCCTTATGTCTTATGTAAAATGAATGTTTTTTATTTTAGAGACATTTAGTAAAATAAGTAATAATATTTGCCATTTACTGAGTATCTATTATATTTCTTAATTCTATCCACATCCTGTTAGGTAGTAGTATTCCCATTTCACAAATGAATACATTGATATTTAGAAAGGTTGCCCGCAGTTTTATTTGCTAGTAGAGTTGGGATTTGAATCATGGTCTGACTGGGTTGCAAAGCTATTCTGTCTGTTGTATTCCCTACTAAGGTTAAGAGTCTTTTATGATACATTATTTAAGTATGCAGCTTGGAAGATTATGTGTAACATAAGTAGTACTCATGTTATTCATAGTATTGCAGTTATGATTTGTGAGTTGAAATTTAAGGGCCACACCTGATTTGGCTAGCATTGTTGAAGTTGTTTGTGTAATTTTGGCCCAAAGATAGTTTATTTGATGATAACCTAAGGATAAAGGGCCACAGTCAGTGTTTGTTTTGTCAGCAGGTGTTCTTGAGCTTTTGAAAGCATTTCAAACTCAAATAGAAGGATATGCAAAGTTTCCTTAGGATCATAACTACTTTAAATATTTGGTGGCTAAAGGGGGAACTTGAAAATTCTGAGCACTTCGAGAGGCTATTCTTATTTAACAGTATGTTTTCTTATGCTTAGGACTTCTGGTGGTGGTTATTTTCTAAAATATTTCTGGAGTTTTAATAAACTGACTTTAAAATACATCCTTTGAAGAAAGCATTTGTAATTAATTGGTCTTGTTTACACCTATTTTCATCATATTATTAATTTACCGTTGTGGACACAATCAGAGGCAATTAAACTCATGATAAAAATATTGAAAAGGATATAAATGCATGAAAGAATTTGGAGATTTTACTAACCATACGTAACTTCTGGCATAGTAGTGGGAGAATTATTTCTGTCAAAATAGATAATACAGATTATAGTTATAATTTATATGAAGATATTTTCACCACAATTCCTTCTTCACCCATGCCTCCCATTTTATGGTTATTTTATTGCTGATGTGTTAATATTGGTATAATCATGTATGTTGGAGGTGGAAAATAATGTGGAACTGTTAAATGCTGATAAATTGAATCCTTAACTGTTTACAGCATAGAGCTTAATCTCTCCCACTTGGCCTCAGATAGTCTAAGTATTTGAAATGGTAAAAGGTACTAAATAAGCACTTCAGGGCAATGTAACTTGTTAGGAGAGAAGCAGTTGGGTGGAAATCCAGTTTCTTTCTCCAAGGCTGTAGTACATACACTATGATTGGGCCCGTGAATAGCCTCTGTAGTCCAGCCAGGACAACATAGCAAGATCCTGTTTCTTAAAAATATTAGAACAACAAAAGGGATATATACCTTTTTGGTCTCCACGTTTTTCTTTCTTTCTTTCTTTCTTTCTTTCTTTTTTTTGGTATGTATTTTACATGAAAGCAAACTTCAGTGAAAGTCAAAGTAGAAGTCAAAGTTTGTAGCCTTTGTATCCAGCAAGTTAATGCTTTTTGTTAAGATGTGTTACCTTGCCTTGAGATCAGTCCATTTCTAGGTGTGGCAGTTTTACAGTAGGCTTTTCTCATTATTTACTATGAATTGCCTATAAGACAAAAATAAGCCTGAAAGCCTGGGCACAGTGGCTCACGCCTGTAATCCCAGCACTTAGGGAGGCTGAAGCGGGTGGATCTCTTGAGGTCAGGAGTTTGAGACCAGCCTGGCTAATGTGGTGAAACCCCGTCTCTACTAAAAATGTAAAAATTAGCCAGGTGTGGTGGCACATGCTTGTAATACCAGCTACTAGGAAGGCTGAGGCAGGAGAATCGCTTGAGCCTGGGGGGGCAGAGGTTGCAGTGAGCCGAGATCACGCCACTGCACTCCAGCCTGGGTGACAGAGCAAGACTCCTCAAAAAAAAAAAAAAAAAAGCCTGAAGCAAACTTTGTTGTTTGAAATTTCATATTGCATATATGCCTGTAAATTTAAATTTTGTGAAATATCAAGGACATTATTAAAAAATACCTTTTTAGACTGGCAAAAATTTTGATGTAAAGATTTTGGAGGAAATGAGTTTATAACTTATGAGTTCTAGTTTGGTAGATCAGTTGAGGTTGACTCTCATATTTTTATAGTTACAAAGAGTTTCTCTTACCTTTCGTGGCATTGAATATAACTTACCTTTATCAATTTAGTCATGGAAATAAAATCTTACCCCAGAGAAGTTCCAAAAGTTAAAAAAAAAAACAACAAAAAAAAATTTAGTAAGATGTTATCTTTAGTCTATTAAGTAAATGTGTAGTTTATTATAGCATAAAAATAGAGCCTTACCCCTAGTTGGTTCAAAATAGCAATGAGTAACTGTGAAGGAAGAAAAATTGATGATCAGTGCTGTCAATAGGTTAATTTTTAAACCTACATTTAACTTATTACATATGCAAGTTAGTATACTTTGTATACAAAAATCTATTTTATTGAAAAATTCCATTTTATTGCTTAGTATATTATTTATATGATACAAGATTTTAAAATGACAATATCTGGATTTAAATACCTTTAATTCACAGAAATATTTTCTTTCTACAGCTTTGTAATGATATTTACCATATTTGAAAGTTAGAAAATTGATTTGAATGGTTAAGAAACCCTCTGTGTACACTTCCATACAAGTCCCATCTTTCATAAATGATTCAGATTCCCTGTGTGAATGATACTTGAACTAAAATTTTAGGACAACTATGAATACTTTGTTTTGAGAACTTGCTTATACAAGCAGTTTTACTGGAAAATTGTTTTGTAGCATCCACATGGTCCTGTTTTAAGATTCTGGCAGCTTGCTCAAGAAATTGACCAACTCCGTCTAAAAGGTGAATCTCTTTACTTGTTGAGCTGTCTGTCTTAGAGTGTATGCAGTAATATTTAAGCTAAACACTGTCCCAACTGTGACAGATCTTAGGCACGAACAATGCCCTCAGGTAGCGTTTGTTCTGTTAGGGTGCCTTTCTCTGCTCCCTACCTTAATTAGGACCATTGAGAGATGTTGAATGTAGTATTTATATGGACTTTATAGAATAACAGGGCAGAATATATTTACCGCGATAAGATCATTAGGTGTGAGGACCTAGAATAAAGGAAACAGTCAAAGTAAGGAGTTGTAATTCAGCATTTCATCTACTTTTGTATCTTATATATTTTATATTAGCTTGGTAAACGAGAGCATGCTTTTTAGAATTCTCATCATTTCTAAAGTTCAATTATTAAAATTCACTAATATTTTAAGTACCCCCCCCCAACCCCAAACCTATCTCTGGAAACATGTAGTCTGTATTTTCTGTTGTGGGCTCCAGACATAGCAGTGACTTCTTGGAAAGATTATTAAACCTATGATTATTGGGTTTGAAAAAGACTATTTTGGGATCACCTCTTTCTGAAAGAAAACTTTAATAATATTACTTCCTATAATCGTAATAGGAGTGCTGGGCATGGTGGCTCACGCCTGTAATACAGCACTTTTGGAGGCCAAGGGAGGAGGATCACTTGAGTCCAGGAGTTCGAGACCAGCCTGGGCAACATGGTGAAACCCCATCTCTACAGAAAATACAAAAATTAGCCCAGCGTGGTAGTGCGTCCCTGTAGTCCCAGCTACTCAGGAGGCTGAGGCTGGAGAATCACTTGTACCTGGGAGGTGGAGGTTGCAGTGAGCTGTGATTGCACCACTTCCAGCTTGGGTGACAGAGCGAGACTCAGTCTCAAAAAACAACAACAGAAAATCATAATAGGAATATTATTACTTGGAGTTAATATGCTGAAATATACATAACTTTTTTGTATGATACTGAATCCGCCTCATCTTATGTATTTATCACTAATTCAGTAAAATCTTTTCAAAAGTAAAATTTAAGCAATTCCTTTATACCATGACTGTAACCTTAAATCTATTTCAAATGCTTCTAGGATATATTACATTTCAATAAGAATGCATTTTACCCCCACTAATGACAAATGTAAGCATAAAATTTTAGAGGTGAAATGGACTTTGTAAATCATCTGTTGTCACTGTTTTATATTCTAGAAGAGGATAAGGGTCACAGGAGTTAAAGATAATTCCAAAGTATTAAAGGGCAGACATGGAGCTTACATCTCCAGATCATTTAACTTCAAATTAAGTGCTTTTTCTACTGGTTGGTCCCTGGGTTTATTCTACACAAATAAGGAAAGTTTCAGGTCTTAGGTAATTCAGTTTTCAAGGATATGTGAAATTTGAACATTCAATTACTCAAATCAAACAAAATATCAATAACTAGTGGTCCCCCAAAGAGAATGTTAGCCAGTAATTATTGGTATCAAATTCTCCCCAATTAAATCTAAAGAATTTTCAAGTTTTTGTTTTGTATTAGTTTAAGTATTTCCTAAGGAAGCTTTAAGTATAACCACCTGATTTGGATTGTAAGGAAAAGGAAAAGGAATAGAAATCTACAAAAAAAAAAAAAAAAAAAAAAAAAAAAAGTAAATTGTGAATGAAACTGTGAACACTCTCTCTTGCTTTTTCTCATTTATTCATACATTCACTCATCCTTCCACCCATCTATCCATCCATCCCTACAATATTTACTGAGCAATTATTCTATATCTAGGGTTTAGGGATAGCAGTAAATGACACTTAGAGAGCTCACCTTCTATTTGGTGGAGATTAGAATCTAGTGGGTTCAATATAATATTTTCTTTCAAGAGGTATGGTTGTTCTTCTTAATTTATCTAACTTAAAGCCCAGGAATCTGTCTTAATGTGTTGATAGTTTTTACAAATCTACCACTTTCCCTACAGTAAGTGTTACTTTCTTTGCTTGCTTTGAAGATACTAGTCTGCCATCTGGTGGTAGGAAGAGTTTCCATTTCACAGAAGAGTGATTCTTTTAATTGTCATATAGATTTAAATAAATTTAAATTTAAATGTTAACAGCGATTCCTAAGTTCTAATTATAAACCAAGACTCCAAGATTTTGCATCAGTTTAAAATAAATCTTGCCAGGGCACGGTCGCTCATGCCTGTAATCCTAGCACTTTGGGAGGCCGAGGCAGGCAGATCACTTGAGGTCAGGAGTGAGTTCGCCCAGCCCAACTAACATGGTGAAACCCATCTCTACTAAAAACACAAAAATTAGCCAGGCATGGTGGCTACACGGGAGGCTGAGGCAGGAGAATTGCTTGAACCTGGGAGGCGGAGGTTGCAGTGAGCTGAGATTGCACCACTGTACTCCAGCCTGGGCAACAGAGAGAGACTCTGTCTCAAAAAACAAAAACGAAAACAAAAAAAACAAATTTTAGCAAACAATAGGGAAACAATGCACCTAGTCCTGACTAGAACCAAAATAATTAGCAATTAATTATAAGTGCAAGAATAATATTTAGAATTTAACAGCTGGGATTCAATCAGAACAAGTAAAAACATTAAAGGAGAAGAAATGTTCTATTGAGGACTAAGTTTAGTGACAAATTTTTAAAAGTTGAGAGAAACACAGTTTGAAATTAAATGCAAGCAAAGGGAAGGTGTTTATTAAATTTAGATATAAAAACAGTTACACAAAATCATGTTTGTATATTTAAAAATATTTAGGAGATCAGACAATATTAAGCAAGATGTAGTTTTAAAATGTTTGTGAGCTGGGCATGGTGGTGTGCACCTATAATCCAGCTACTGGGGAGCCTGTGGGAGGTGGGAGGATCACTTGAGCCCAGGAGTTTGAGACTAGCCTGGGTGACATAGTGAGGTCCTTGTCTGTAAATAAGGGGTATGTGAAGTTTTAAAATGTATGTGATTTTTAAAGAAAAAAATCATTGCTTAAATACTTATCCAAATTTAACAAGGCCCCAATCTGTGTTGCAGCATCATTATTTTAGACTAAAATAATTTTCTACCCGCAAATTGCCTTGTGCTTTTCAAGTCTGCACCCATGCACTTGCTGTTCCTCTGCCTGAAATGTTTCATCCATTTGTCTTCCTTCAAGACCTGGTTCAGATACTGTCTTCTCTGAAGTCTTTGATCCATAGCTTTGTATTTGTGTCTCGAAATACTTATCAAATTACATTGTAGTTTCCCTTTATGAGTCTCTCTTCCTCATCAGATCTGAACTTATACTGTTTGTACCTCAAGCACTCACCGTTGACTCTATAATGTAGTCGACTTACAAAAGTGTTATATATAGAATAAAGGCAACTCTATTGTGTATTTAGCATTGTTCCAAACTTTATTGAAAAAATGTTTTAAGAATCCAGATATTAGGAGAGCCTGGAGAGAGTCCAAACAGAAAAGCAAAATAACTATTTTGCTTGAACTTGGGAAAAAGTTATAGAAAGCTGGGGAAAAAAAATCTTCTTAGAGAAAGAAAGCAACAAGGTGAATTTGAAAAAGCAAAAGAATGGATATTATAGAAAGAAGTATTCTCTTCATAAAGAGTAAGCTCGTAACGGTCAAAGTAATTCAGCACAAACACCTTTTTAATAGTAAGTGCAGAGAAACACTGCGAGAGGGCACTGAAGATTTGGAGGGAAATTTGCTAGCCCCTTGTCACGTTCCACTATAAGCTATATGGGAGAGAAGTTTGAATAGCTGATTCCTGGGGACTGCCTAAAGCCTCATATTTCAGTATCAAAATTTGGAAAGTTTCATAACCACCATCCAACAAATAAATCCTTTTAGCTATTTCAGATTCCCCAAACCCATGCTTACCAGGGGCGGTTGCGGAGGTAGGGGAAAGAGGACCTGAGGGAAAAATGGTGGTACTTGTGGTGGGTAAAAGATAAATCTCTGTAAAAAGAAACATGATGTCAGTCATTTCAGACAATGGCAGACTTTTAAAATGATGAATGCATTATTTAAAAATACAATTAGAAGTTCACCTGTTCACTGGAACTTTCAGCATATTGTTCGAGCTTGCAAAACAATAACAGCAACAAGGTAAAGCAGCATATGGAAATACATTATCCACTAAAGAGAGGTTTTGTTCTAAAGGAGAATAAGTAATAAGCCACTATGGAGCATTATACCCATCAGTAATGTAACTTCACTTCTGAAATAAAAAGCAGTTGGATATCTAATAGGGAAAAGTTTAATTAATTTTGTGCAATGATTTGGAAGACCAAGGCTTTTTGCTTTTAAATTTATATCCAAAGAATGCTTTTATTTACATTTCTTAAGATTAATTCCATATTACATGAATATTTCCTTTTGTAAATCTTTGAATGGTGTTCTTGATTTAGTTCTCAGTAGTTATAAACTCAAAGTGAAGGGAGTGTGGAAATGTACACTTAAGTTCTGCACCCCAAACACAAATTTTGAAAGCTCCCTCACTTCTTCAAAAGCTCCTTTGATACAAAGTGTGCAGGGGAGAGAGTTTCTTGCCTACTTGGTGCCCTCATATTCAGACTAGTAAACCCAGATTAGACTCAGTGGATCTCATTTGTATATAGTCAGTTGATGACAAAATGTCTATATAGGTGAAGTTAATGATGTTCTGGGATTACAGTATTTCATATATTCTTAGATGCTATCATTGTCAAAAGCACCATTATTTCATAAATTACCAAAAAAGAAAAGCGCTGCTGTTAAGCTGCCGTGACACTTTATCAAATTGTGTTTTTAAGACACAGCTCAATTTCAGAGCTGCTGAAATATCAAAAAGTACATATTAGAATTAATGAAATATGTATACTGCAGCATTCCCATCAGCCTAAAGAAACAGGCAATACAAATTGTTTGGAATTTTAGACCACGATACTTGCCAGCTTTGGCAAAAAGGATTGTGGTCTAAAGAAACAAATTAGGTTTGTTATCAAGGGCACTATAGATGAATGTAGCTTTTTATCCAAATCTGGTTTTCAAAAATTGGACTTTAAAGGTGTGTCTGTATGATCACTCAAATATAATTCAGGCATAAGTTGTTTTTATATTCATAATTTAGTAATCAATGTAAGTTATCTTAAATATTTCCTTCTTTAAAATCAAATCTACAATGAGGTAGATAGTCCTTTGGTGTCAGAGCATTTCCATGTAACAGCCTTTTAAGAAAACATGAGATGGTTTGGGGCAAGGGCATTACAAATGAAACTCAATTCAAACTGCTTAATTTAGACCTGGGTCACTGCAGAATATTTGTTCTATATCACTGAGTTTATTGAGAACATCCTATCTTTCAAATAGGACCCTTCTCTGCCTTAGATGCATTAAAAAAATCATCTCCGTGCAACTCTGAGGTGTTCCTAGGACTCATTTTATAGACAAGGAAACCATGGGTTAGTTCAAAGTCACACAGCTAGCACATGGCATATGGAGCTGAGATTTGTACTGGGCAGAGTCTTGGACTGACAAAGAGTGGTGAACTCCTAGTTCTATGACTTTCCTGGGTTCCGCTTTCCTCTTTTGTGAAATGAAAAGATAAGACCTGCTTTCTAGCCGAGAAATGCGATGACTCTAAATCTGAAATTGAGTCAGCAGCTGAGGAGGGTGTACTCACGGGGATGGGCAGAGCAGTGGCAGTGCTCAAAAGGCCAGCCAAGATGAGAAATTTCATTCTAAAGGTCGAGCCTGGAATTGAAGGGGTAGGAGATCATTTCGAGTTTTTTTCTATGTAAGTCCTATTCCTATTTAGAGGTGTTGAAATAGTGGTCAAGATAAATCCTGCCTCCAAACATAGGTTTTGTAAGCCTACAAGAGTGTTTTTAAAAGCTTTGAATTCCTTAGACAAGACATGCACTGTTTAGCTCCCAACATAGCCCATTACTTTCTACTTTCTTATAAAGTTACAGTTCGGCCTATACACTGTACATGTTTGGTCCCTGAAGTTGCGTTTGTGATCTCTACACACAAATCTTTTTTTTTTTTTTTTTTTTTTTTGAGACAGGGTCTTGCTCTGTCACTCAGGCTGGAGTGCAGTGGCACAATCATAGCCTCCTGTACCCTCGAACTGCTGGGCTCAAGTGATCCTTCTGCCTCAGTCTCCCAAGGAGCTAGGACTACAGGTGTGCACCACCACACTTGGCTAATTTTAAAAAAATTTTCTTAGAGATGGGGTCTTGCTATGTTGCCCCCCTGTTGCAAGGATGGTCTTGAACTTCTGGCCTCAATCAACCTTCCCACCACAGCCTTCCAAAGTGCTGGGATTACAGGTGTGAGCCACTGTGCTCAATTCTACTCACAAATCTTTAAACACCAGTGTTACATCATGCTTATTATTAGTAATTGATCACTACTGGCTAAAATGAGAGGAAAGTTTTTATGTAATACACAAATAAATCCACCTGAAGCTTGTACCTCTGTGAGACTTACCAGGCCTTCATATAGTCTGGTTGCTGTTATTGCCAGTTATAGTTCTCGGGAAGGAAATTGTATGGGAAAAATTTTGTAAGATGTAATGGGTTGGTAGAAAATCAGCACAATATGAGTAAATTCAGATTCAATAAAGGAAATCAACTGGCCTTTTATTGGTCCATTGGTTCTGAAAGGAGACATTTTTATGTTTTAAAAATCGCACTTAATTCAAATTAACTTACCTTGTGAGTTTCAAACCAAATCACTGTATTCTGGAATTGGATTTTGAAAGAAAAACAACTTTATCATGTTATTATTAAGACTTATCTCCAGCATTTGAGGCAAGTTATATCTATAAATCACACTTCATCTGTTATATATATCTAAAACCCAACTCTGATTTCAATCTTAGTGCTACTTTGCCTGAATTTAGGCAACTTATTTCCCTTTTCCTTTTTCATGTTTTTTCTTTGTATTTTTCTTCTTTCTGGATTCAAACACTAATTTCTTTCTTCTTATTAGAAGTGGACCTGTTAGAAATCATTAAATTACCCAATACAAGAATATGTTACATTCTTTTATCTAGTGCATTAGAATCAGTCCAAATTATACTATATATCTCTTCAATTACCTTTGCTTCAGTGGCCCTTGGAGCAACAAATTCAAGGAGCAGTGTGATCACCTAGAATCTCTATGCCCATCTAGTATTTAAGCCATGTTACTAATGCCTTTATGGTTATGGGCAATATGAGTCACAAAATTCAAAGCTAAACTGAATAATTGCTTTCACACCAGGAGCTCCAACTTCCAAAATATCTCAATTACACAGAGGTAGACTTACAGACTGATTACTGAGAAAATAACTGAGAAAATAATCTCTTAGGTTGGGATTAGAGTATGTCTTTATCACAAACAACCCACAATTAAAAATTGTGACCACCAAGAATATTAACGTGCCTCTATAATAGATGAGCTAGCTGTACATGTAAGAGCCTTAAATGATACAGAAATTTAAGGTTTGAGATTTTCTCTTATTAAATATTTTTCATTTCAAAATGAATATTATTTTCAAACAAAATTTTTTAGTAGATATTGAGGTGGTTTCCTTACCTTGGTGTTAAAATCACTTTTCACTATTCTAAAATATTTTTGAAAGTTGTCTGAGGGTAAAAGATAATTTAGGCCTAATTAATACCTCTGAATACAACTTCACTGTTCCCAGCAACCTAGTTTGTAATTAGCTAAGACCTTTTCAGCTTCATATAAAAACGTTCTGAAATTTGGAATAGTTCCTAAAATTATTTCTGTAGTTGGAAAAAGTTACAAATAATACTTAATTCGATTTTGATTAATCAAATTGAACTTAATTTTTTAGAAAGGACATAGTATGATATGGTTCTAGTTAAGGTAATTGGCCAGGTGTGGTGGCTCACGCCTGTAATCCCAGCACTTTGGGAGGCCGAGGTGGGCGGATCACGAGGTCAGGAGTTCGAGACCAGCCTGACCAACATGGTGAAACCTCGTCTCTACTAAAAATACAAAAATTAGCTGGGCGTGGTGGCGCACGCCTGTAATCCCAGCTACTGAGGAGGTTGAGGCAGGAGAATCTCTTGAACCCAGGAGGCAGAGGTTGCAGTGAGCTGAGATTGTGCCACTGCACTCCAGCCTGGGTGACAGAGCAAGACTCCATCTCAAAAAAAAAAAAAAAAAGAATAAGTAATTTATTGAGCTATGAAAGAGATAACGAATGAAATTTTGAAATACTCAGAGAAGATTATTCTGATAAAAAAATAAACTATTCTGTAAATATCTTTCAGATAAAATTCCTAGGGGCATGTTCTCTCAGTGACTATCACAGATAAGGTTTGTAACAACAACAACAACAACAACACATTTTTGATTATTTGAAAAAATAGTAAAAGATAATTGTATTGATATCTTTCATTTCAGCTAGAAAAATATGTAAAAAACCATTTTCTTTCAAATAGTCAAATAAAGTGAGTGACATGTCCTTTTATTGCCTTACTTCAGAACTTGGAAAACTATATTATAATGTCATATTTTTGTGATCTAGCTTTTACTGTAATAGTTACCAAAGAAGAGCGCAAATAAAAAGACAAATTTTTGCTTATGACAGGTTTTTCGCTATCAATTTACATTAATAATATTTAATCTCTTTCTACATTGGACATCAAGACGCTTTATGGCCCTCTACCTGTTTTACCATTACATTTTCTTTATTGTGAGGCAATGATTATGTGAAATTTTTGCAGGGCCGCCCTCTTCCCCAGCACACATGCTCAACTGCACAAAAAGTTAGAATTAATTGGATCAAGCAGTGCATAATCTTTCACATTTTATTTTCATTTATTTATTTTTTGAGACAGGGCCTTGCCCTGTCACCCAGGCTGGAGTGCAGTGGCACAATAGCTCACTGCAGCCTCGACCTGCTGGGCTCGAGTAATTCTCCTACCTAAGTCCACCAAGTAGCTGGGATCACAGGTACATGCCACCACCCCTGGCTATTTTTTTAAGTTTTCATAGAGACAGGGTCTCTCCATGTTGCCTAGGCTGGTCTTGAAATCTTGAGCTCAAGGAATCCTCCCGACTTGGCTTCCCAAAGTGTTGAGATTACAGGTGTGAGCCTCTGCACCCAGCTTGTTCTACATTTTATATCAAATTTGGTAAAAAAGCACTTGATATTAGTTTTTTTCTGTTTAAACTTACATAATGATGAAGGACATTAATGAGCACCTCTTATCTTGCCACTGAGTATTTGTTTCCTGTAAGAGATGTCTCACACTTTTTTCTCAACCACACACACACACACACACTTAAGGTAGTAGGGTTTAGGAAGCACAATTATAATTTGACATGAAGTGTGAGTCTTGGGTTGATCTTTTACATTTGATTGTCTAAATAATAACTGGAAATACACTTGCATAAGCATTTGGATTTTTATGGACTCTTTATTAGGGTATTAAGATATTGAAAATAATACACGTAAACCACAAAAGAGTAGCATTCCATTTTCTTGAAGTGCACATGATATTATGAACAATACAAATGCATTATTTTTATCATTAATAGTTTAATCATTAATTATCTCATAAGTCAATGCAGAGAGTGAAATTACTATGAATTAAACTTCTGTTCACAATGTACAGTATTTTGCATATGTTGACTTTACTTAATTGTACATTTTTGTTTCCAAAGTTAATGTTAAATACCTGGTGCATAGGTTGTTGTCAAGCAATTACTCTCATTGTCTTGTCATACATGCTAACATTTTGCTAAATATAAATCTACAAGTATCACAGCTGCATATATTTCTGAAGTGGTTAGAACAGAGGAGGATGCTGGAAAGTTGAGTTCTTTAAAATCTTCGTTCAAAACAAGAGATTTTCATCTATGTCCTCTATAAAAAAACAAGAAGCAAAATGACACTTTTAGAAAGTAGCCAGAGTAGTAGCACAAACAATATTAGAGTTGGGGGATTAGAGAAACCATCTAATAAGGCAGTATAATGGTGATCCTCAACTTTGGTAGGACAGCAACATCACTCATGAACTTTTACAAATATGTATTTTTAGGCCTCACCTCTGGACTCTAGAATCAGAATCCCTAGGGGTGGACTAATGGCATGTAGACGTTTAGAAAACTCTGCAGGTAATTTGGCTGCAGGGTTGAGAACCACTGATAGAGGAAGAGCAGGTTAACGGGAGGTCCAGCCAAGAAGTGCCCAGTATACTAATCTAGAAGGTGAGCTGAAAAATAATGGAAATAAATAGAAGTGTAGTGCTAGGTTATTCCAGTTTTTAATTGAGTAGCTTGTGAAAGAAATTGTCGCCATACCTGTGGAAGAAGACAGCATCCTCTAGCAAATATAAGATCACTCCTTACCAACATGGCCCACCCTAACAAACTATTATACTACTCTGTGTGGGCACTAGGTAATTTTCCTGCTAATAATCTTTATCTAGCCCAGAGAATGGGAAAGATTATGGACTTTGATTTTTTTTTTTTGAGTACTGGCTTCATATGTAAAATGGAGATAATAGCTTCATTAGTTATACGTTTACTTATATTTGCACCCATAGCCTTTGTCTTCTTTCTGTTGCTCAGATAAGAGATTGTCCTTTTTCTTGACGTTAAGGCTAATTCCTCTACCTATGCTCAAGATCTCTTCTGACCTTCACAAGATTCTCCTTTTACTTTCCTCTTTTTTTCTTACATCCTTCTTCCACCTTTCCTTTTTTACTAGACCCTTCCATTAGCATTTAAATATGTTTCATATTTAGCCTCTAGAACAGTGCCTGCATTTATGTAGACCATCTGTAAAGATTTCTCTCTCTCTCTTTTTTTTTTTTTTTTTGAGACGGAGTCTCGCTCTTTCACCCAGGCCAGACTGAAGTGGCGCAGTCTCGGCTCACTGCAAGCTCCGCCTCCCGGGTTCACGCCATTCTCCTGCCTCAGCCTCCCGAGTGGCTGGGACTACAGGCGCCCGCCACCACGCCCGGCTAATTTTTTGTATTTTTAGTAGAGACGGGGTTTCACCGTGTTAGCCAAGATGGTCTCGATCTCTTGAACTCGTGATCCGCCTGCCTCAGCCTCCCAAAGTGCTGGGATTACAGGCGTGAGCCACCGCGCCTGGCCTGTAAAGATTTCTTGAGCAAATGAATGAGTAAATGAAAGGAGTGCTCAAATCTCTTTTATTCTAAAAAATGCTCCCCTTTTTTAGAAAATGCTCTGTAGCTTTTCTAGGTCTTTCCTGCACTCAAACATCCACTCCTTACCCTTTCTAATCTCCCTTTTCTTCTCAACCCATAGAATGTGACTTCCATGTCTACCATTCCACCAGAACTACTCTAACCAAGGCTACCCAGGATATCCTTATTTCTTTCAACTTCTTTGACATCTCAGTCGCATTTGGCACTGTTAATCTCTTCCTCCTCTTTGAAACACCTCCTTTGCATGGCACTATCCTGGTTTTCTTCCTTCATTTCAGGAGAAACTTCATTCTCCTTACTGAATTCTTTCTTCCTCCCCTATCCATCATCTAGATGTTGTTGTTTCTCAGTGCAGTGTTCAATCCTAGACCCCTTTTCATGTAACTCAATGCGTTTTCCTTGGGAGAATTAATTCCCTTCCCTGGTGTCAATTATTCTCTGTATGCTTATAATCCTCAAATATGCATTTCAGTTCCAAAACCCTGTCTTGATATATAAGCGGCCAACAAATATATATAAAGTTCCACGTTACTAATCATCAGGAAAATTTAAATCAAAACCATCTCACAATAAGATGCCATTTCACACCAGTCAGAATGGCTGTAATTAAAAAGTCTAAAAACAACATGCTGGTGAAGCTGCAGAGAAAAAGAATGCTTAGACACTGGTAATGTAAATTAGTTGAGCCACTGTGGAAAGCAGTTTGAAGATTTCTCAAAGAACTTAAAACAGATCTACTATTCAACCCAGCAATCCCATACTGGGTATATTTATAAAAAAATCATTTTACTAAAAAGACACATGCACTCATATGCTCGTTGCAGCACTATTCACAATAGCAAAGATATAAAATCAATGTAGGTGCCCATCAGTGGTGGGCATGGTAGGGATAATGGTAGTTTTGATGGAGTGGTAGAGATAATGGCCAAACCATAATTACTTTTGCATGAAACTAACACTTAGGAGGCAACCTAATACTTTACAATTCAACGTATCTAAAATGGAATTTGTCATTTACTCCAAATCCACTTCTGTTCTTGTGTTTTCTCAGTGGAAGATGCCTCTATTTACCTCTATTTACCCTGCCTGCTCTGAGCCAGGGACCTAGGCATTGCACTTCTCTTTTCAGTCTCTCACCTGTCTGCTCTCGGCTCCCACATATTTCCTATCAAATATTGTCTTATTTCCACATGCTATATATTTGAGTATGCTTATATCTTAAAATATATCTTGAATATGTTTACTTCTCTCTTTTTTTCCCCTTTGGTCACTCCCCTAGTTCAAGTTCTCATCAGCTCTTGCCTGGGTTTACCACAGTATTCTCTCAACAATTCTTTGGCCCCACCACAATGTAACCAGGAGAATCCATCTTAAATACAAACCCAGGGAAATCACTGGCTTGTTTGAAACACTTTGGTGGCCCCCCAGTACTCTTAGGATAATGTCTTTAAATGGCTTAGGGGAACTTGCGTCATCTGAGTTGTTTACCCTGTTAGTCTCACTTGGAGGGTTTTCTGACGATTAGCATGGGTATGTGTCAATGCATGGTATGCATGGGCACAAAATAAATGAGGATTCCTGCACCTGTTACCTGAACCCCATTTTTACAGATAAGGAAAATGAGACTCACTGAGGCTAAGCAACATGCCCTAATTCACACAGCTAGTTAATAACAGCTATGTGAGGAATATATGAGCACGTCTATCACAGGCAGTTAAAATTCAGGAAAACATTGGCTAAACTTTATCTTCTCCTGTAGATTTCTCAGCCTTGAAGGAAAGAAGGGTATACTTACAAATAAATTTGTTTTTCTTTAGCTACATTCCAAAGCAGTAAGTTGTTTACGTGTTCTGACTGAATATTTAATATCTGCTTTATTGGTTTATTATGTGATAATTTTTTCCTTTCTTCAAAATAAGGCAATGATGGCCAAACCACAGTGCACAAACAAGATCATTAGCAGCTTTGTAAATGACTGGATTTTAAGCCCTTCCTGCTCCTCCCAGACAACCGCCCAGCGGAGCCTGGGTGAGCTTACACACTGAAGAGCTGCCAGAAGCTTTGCAAAAGGAAGAATGAGATGCAACTGGTTTTCTTAAGTAAAATGGCCTCTGTTTAAATTTGCCTTTTTATCAGTCCTTTAAAATCACATGTCATATAAACAGGCATCCATAAATACATCCTATCCCAGCTGAGTTTTCCCCTCTAGATAATGGTGGGCAGGGCAGGACAGAAGGATATATTTGAATTTTTATAAGTACTCTGCTTGTATCATAGATGTTAGAAAGACAATTGACATCCAACCCCCTGTGGTCTCCTTCTCCTCCTCCTGCTGTAGCAGGATTGGTCAGTGTGACCAATAGAATGAGGCAGAAATCATGATATATAACTTCTGAGGTTAGGTTATAAAAGACATTGGGGCCTCAGTCTTGGCTTTTTCTCTCTTTCTGCCTGGTCACTCGCTCTGGAGGAATCCAGATACCATGCTGTGGGCAGCCCTGTAGACCAGAGGCCTACACGATGGGATACTGAAGGCTCCTGCAAAGAGCCATGGGAGTGGGCTTAGAAGTAGACCCTTAGCTGCAGTCAAGCCATCAGATAACTGCCGCACTGCATGACCCCTTGACCACAACCTAATGAGAGATCCTAATCCAGAGCCATCCAGGTTAGTTACTGTGAGATTCCTGACCCTTGGAAACCGTGAGAAAGAATTTAACCTGTTAAGTTGTGGGGTGATTCACTATGCAGCATAGACAACTAATACACAGAACTAGGTACTTACAAAAATATACATCCTTTCACAGAATGTTTATTTCACAGAATGATATTGCAAGGAAAAGGACTGACCCTCTCTGCTTACCTATTTATTAATAAGTAAATCCTCATACTTTCACCTCTTCCTCTCTAATTTCAAGGCATTCTACATATGCATGGGGGATATTTTAAAAATGAAGTATGCACAAGTTATTTCTTTTTGGGAACTTCTGACATTTGATGAACTGACTTTCTTTAACGGCTTAGCTGCATGTTTATCCCAAGGGTATATTGTAAACATGAATGAAATCTCTGTTTCAGAGATTTGATGTTCACTGTTAATTTATGTTCTGTGAGTGGTATTTTTCTTATTTATTTATTTTAATTGACAAATAAAAATGGTATGTATTTATCATGTAAAACATGACCTTTTAAAATATATATACCTTGTGGAATGGTTAAATTGATCTGATTAACGAATGCATTACCTCACATACTATCATTTTTGTGTGTGTGTGTGTGGTGAGAATTGCGAGTAGATTTGAATGCTCATTGTTTGAACATCTTTCATTTTTTTTTTTTTTTTGAGACCGAGTCTCACTCTATCACCCAGGCTGGAGTGCAGTGTTGGGATCTTGGCTTACTGCAAACTCTGCCTCCCGGGTTCAAGCAATTCTCCTGCCTCAGCCTCCCGAGTAGCTGGGATTACAGGCGTGTGCCACCAAGCCCGCCTAATTTTTGTATTTTTGGTAGAGGCGGGGTTTCACCATGTTGGCCAGGCTAGTCTCTAACTCCTGACCTCACGTGATCCACCCACCTCGGCTTCCCAAAGTGCTGGGATTACAGGCATGAGCCACCGTGCCCAGCCTTTCATATCTTAATTATTGAAAACATACTTGCTCATAAAATTCAAGCCTAACTTAAGGAAAGAAAAGGAAACATATTAAGACATAACCCAGCAAAACAAGCATCTAAATTTAATTTCCTCCACTGCAGGAGTAAAGAAAGAATACTCTGATCTACCCTCCCACAGCTCCCATTCATTGAGGGTGAAGCCATGGGTGAGTTTTGGGTTAAAGGATTATCCCAGCACTAATTGTGATGTAAAATCCAGTCTTTAGTGTGTTGGTAATGGATTCTGAGATGTTCTGACATCTCCCATTGTCAGAAATGGGCTTGCTTTTTTATTCTTTATGTGTAATTTTGAAAAGTTTGGCCCAAGGCCCAGGTTAAGGTAGGATATGAAATAAGGAAGGACACAAAGCCTGCTGAGATTTGGCCCAATTCTGGATTCACACGTCTTTCTAGGCTTAGCTGACTGTTGAGACCTCAATGCATGTTCACCCTTGCTACCCTTTGAAAACAGTGCCATAAAGGTAGTAAGAAGTGACTTCGCAATGACAGCATGTGCACCAAGGGAGTCCTATCTGGGAAGCTGCCACCTTTTTTTTTCTAGCTTCCAATTCGAACATGTGGCAGGACCTCTCTATGAAGCATGCAGGGCTTAGGGCTTGTCTGAGGAAGAAGACATCCCTCTTCTTTGGCTGGTGATGAATTTACCTTCTTTAATTCCAAAGCAGTGGCCCCACTCCTTCAGGGTGATGTGCTTATCCTTGTTGGGGTCACACTCCTCAAAGAAACGGGTTATGCAGTGTTCCATGGGCACCAGAGATGCTCGCAGAGGAGCAAGTTCAGAATGTGTCAAGACTCTGCAATGAAATACATGGCATCCTATTAATTGAGTAGCTTGTGCATGAAGATTTAACTCTCAGGCTCACCAAGGACATTTTTCTCCCATAAGGTTGCTGTATATGTGATATAAATAGAATACAGATAAAAACTGCCAACGAAATAAAGTATTTGTGGGTAAGGTTGACAGCTTTTGGGATGTTGATTCACAAGTTTTCTGTCTTCACAGGAACTGTCCTTCCCCCACCCTAAATCTATAGGGGTGTACCCAGCAGTCATGTTGGTACAACCTGGTTCTCATCTACTGGCCATACCTGATTGTTTTAGATGTAGTCACTTGACCCACATTGGGCCAATCTTGGGAATTTACGATCAAGAATGAGAAAGTTGGAGGAGTATCTGTGGGAAGCTGGACCTTAACATGTAAACTTGGGAGCTGTGGTGTAGCCATATTCTGCTATCTTCACAGCAGCTTTTTTTTTTTAATGAATATTACATAGCTTTGATAATTGTGATAAGGGGACTTCAAAAAGTTCATTGAGAAATGGAATTAAAAGATAAAATTATAAAACATAAACTTTATCAACATAAGCTCTATCAAGTTTCAGACTTTTTTATTATTATTATTATACCTTAAGTTCTAGAGTACATCATACACAGCAGCTTTGTGTTTAGACTCCTAACCAGGCATTTCAGTATTCTAAAATGGAACTGGGAAATGTCCTAAATCTGTTTAGATTTTCCTTTTGCATAGATATGTAGATATTTTATCAGAGAGATAAATCTAGAAATGGAAAGGTAAAGAGTTCTTACCTATCCATAGGGTGTTGGTCAAGTTCACTAAACTGCCAGTGCACAGGATACACATACATGTGGTAGTTTTTCTTAAAGTCCCTTAAGAGAAGATCAATGGGATGGTCCCCAGCCAAAAGCCTCTTTTCATCCAGGTAAATTTTCTTGACCTGGGATTAGGAAGGCAGAAGACTGTCAGAGAATCAGACAAATGTAATGGACTTGTCACTTGCTATAAACTTTACTTGAAGAGTGACAGTAACACGATAGGGGAAAACAAGCTCAGGACATCATGTGCAACTAAATGAAATTCCTTCCAATCAATACTACAGGCCTTTCTCATGTCTACACAGAATAGCACCTGATGTAAGAAACCTCTGGTTTTTAGAAGAAATTTAAATTCTTTTTTAAACTTTTAAATATTTTAAGTATGTTTTGCCTCTTTCTTTTAACCAAGTAATGTTCGCTGCTTTTTTTTTTTTTTTTTAAACTATGAGGTTTTAATGAAAAGGGCTGAATTGACTAAGGTGATTAGTTAGTGAAAAGTGCTGCTCCTTCCCCCGATGACAGAGTCCACTCTTAGTCTTCTAGGTCATCCATCCAGTGCCCACTCAGTCTTGCTTTCACCCTGGTGTGTTATTGCTTGGCCAGCCCCATTGAAATTTCCCTGTTTCATAGCTAATACCCTCAAGGCTCTCTGTGACAAGGTATTCAAGACGGGGGCTAGAAATTATTCTTGAGCAGTGCCTGTGAAACTCTCAGCTTGTGATGTTGCCTCTTATTTCACTGAGTAATTGGAAGCAAACAGGACCTCCACCTGCTCCCAGAACCACAACTTTGCTCCCTGCGACCTTCCTGTGCTCCTAACCTAAGTCCAATCCCTCTCCTCTGGGTGGGACATGTATCGAAGAACGCCCTCTGGCAGTTGTGCGCATTCTCTGCTCCCCACTAACATTTCCTTCTTGACTGGGTTATTTCCAGAAGCGTGCAAACATCCTCTACCATCTCCCACTGCTAGGTGGGACTCTTGTACTCACTTTCCACTCCAGCTGCCACCCCATTTCTCTTTATCTCTTCATAGCAAAACTCCTTGAAAGGATTGTCTATACTTGCTGCATCCATTCCTCCTAGTCTCTGTTGAACTCTGTCCACTGGAGCTTCCCTCCTGAAACATGCTCCCACCCCAGGAACAGTTCCTATCAAGGTCAGCTATGACTTTGACATGCTAAATCCCTGGCCAATTCTCAGTCTTCAACTCATAACCTATAAACAGCATCTGACACAGTTAATGCACACCCTCCTTCTTGTTTTATTTGTCTTCACACCATGTTTAATCCCAACTGACATACTTATACATATATTTGCTGATTTGGTTATATTTACATAAATGCTCATTTTACTATATATAATTGCATATATGCATATATATGTATGTACAAATATATGCATATACAAACATTACATACACACACACATATATACTTATTTGTTTAGAGTCTGTCTCTTCACCCAGAATGTAAACTCATGAAGGCAGAGATTTTCTTTTCGTTGCTGTATCTCCAGTATTTAGGTCAATTTCTGGCACCCAGGATACACTCAATAACTATCTGGTGAATGAATTTTCTCTGGAAGCTTTTGGAATCAATGTTCTGTGCTTTTTAATCTTAATATATTACTGATATTTTGAGTAATGGATTTACTTTATATCATACATCTATGTCTGGCCTATGAGAACAAAACAAATGCTTAGATTTAAATAAGATGTTTGGACTGACTAGATCAATGCTAAATTTATATTAACTTTGCTCAACCAGAGCTTGCTCTAGGTAGGAATTGAAGAGCCCTAATTCAGGCCACTGACCATTGGGAAGAATGGGGCGGTTTGGTGGTGTCTGAAACCTTGTGGCGTGAATGGTGACATCTATTATTCTGTTAAGCCACATGGGCTAACCGGGCATGGGGAAGCATAGTGGGCTTTTGCCAGTATGCAGAGGTAGGTAGCCCCCCCACCACGTCTTTCTTCCTCATGCCCTGTAGACAGACATTGAAGAAGCTAACCTGTGGATAACTTACTTTATTTCTCTGCTTCTCATTTAGATAACCAGCGTGTTCAGAGTTGGCTTCATAAAGCTGCATGAGGATATTCTTGAGCCAGTCTCTCATCCGTAGAGGAAACTGAATCACTTCAAAGTCCGTACAAGTAGGAATAGCTGTTACAAGCAGAAAATGTACTGTAATCTTTGGGCTTATTTGTGTCCTATGGCAAGTCCTCATAATAGGAAGCTTAACGACTTCTGGCAACTGACAGAGCTTTCTCAGGTCCCCATTATTATGACAGTGGTCCTCAGCCCTGGCAGCAGCACAACAAAATTGCCTGGGGTTTTAAAAAACATACCAAATGCCAGCTTCCAATCAAGTAAATTCTGATGTGATTGGTCTGGCGTGAAGTCTGGGCATCAGGATGTTTTTAAAGCTCCAAGATCTATTTGGATGTGCAGCTAGGCCCCAGAATCACTGCTGTAGAATCAGAGTTGAAATTTGTAGGTGGAGGGCACAAGTGCTATTGAATAGAGAAAAAGGTAGCTATTAGCTGATACTACAGTAAGAAATAATGCTAAATCTCAGTGGCTTAAAGAAACAGAAGTCAATTTTGCAATCCTGCTACAAGTCCAATACAAGTTGGCAGGAGGGCTCTGCTCATTGCAGTCTCCCCAGAGCTCAGGATCACTGCCGTTTTTTTTTTTTTTTAATTATACTTTAAGTTCTGAGATACATGTGCAGAATGTGCAGGTTTGTTACATAGGTATACACATGCCATAGTGGTTTGCTGCACCCATCAACCCATCATCTACATTAGGTATTTCTCCTAATGCTATCCCTCTCCTAGTCCCCCAGCCCCTGACAGGCCCTGGTATATGATGTTCCCCTCCCTGTGTCCATGTGTTTTCACTGTTCAACTCCCACTTATGAGTGAGAACATGCAGTGTTTGGTTTTCTGTTCCTGTGTTAGTTTGCTGAGAATGATGGTTTCCAGCTTCATCCATGTCTCTGCAAAGGACATGAACTTATCCTTTTTTATGGCTGCATAGTATTCCATGGTGTATATGTGTCATATTTTCTTTATCCAGTCTATCACTGATGGGCATTTTGGTTGGTTCCAAGTCTTTACTATTGTGAACAGTGCTGTAATAAACATATGTGTGAATGCATCTTTATAGTAGAATGATTTGTAACCCTTTGGGTATATACCCAGTAATGGGATTGCTGTATCAAATGGTATTTGTAGTTCTAGATCCTTGAGGAATTGCCACACTGTCTTCCACAATGATTGAACTAATTTACTCCCACCAACAATATGAAAGCGTTCCTATTTCTTCACATCCTCTCCAGTATCTGTTGTTTCCTGACTTTTTAATGATCGCCATTCTAACTGGTGAGAGATGGTATCTCATTGTGGTTTTGATTTGCATTTCTCTAATGACGAGTGATTATGAGCTTTTTTTCATATGTTTTTTGGCTGCATAAATGTCTTCTTTTTGAGAAGTGTCTGTTCATATCCTTCACCCACTTTTTGATGGGGTTGTTTTTTTCTTGTAAATTTGTATCTGTTCCTTGTAGATTCTGGGTATAAGCCCTTAGTTAGATTGACAGATTGCAAAAATTTTCTCCCATTCTGTAGGTTGCCTGTTTACTCTGATGATAGTTTCTTTTGCTGTGCAGAAGCTCTTTAGTTTAATTAGATCCCATTAATCAATTTTGGCTTTTGTTGCCATTGCTTTTGGTGTTTTAGTCATGAAGCCTTTGCCCATGCCTATGTCCTGAATGGTATTGCCTAAGTTTTCTTCTAGGGTTTTTATGGTTTTAGGTCTTATGTTTAAGTCTTTAATCCATCTTGAGTTAATTTTTGTATGAAGTGTAAGGAAGGGATCCAGTTTCAGTTTTCTGCATATGGCTAGCCAGTTTTCCCAGCACCATTTATTAAATAAGGAATCCTTTCCCCATTGCTTATTTTTGTCAGGTTTGTCAAATATCAGATGGCTGTATATGTGTGGCATTATTTCTGAGCCATCTGCTCTGTTCCATTGGTCTATATATCTGTTTTGATACCAGTACAATGCTGTTTTAGTTACTGTAGCCTTGTAGTATAGTTTGAAGTTAGTTAGCGTGATGCCTCCAGCTTTGTTGTTTTTGCTTAGGATTGTCTTGGATATATGGGCTCTTTTTTGGTTCCCAACTTTAAAGTAGTTTTTTTCTAATTCTGTGAAGAAAGTCAGTGGTAGCTTGATGGGGATAGGATTGAATCTATAAATTACTTTGGGCAGTACAACCATTTTCACGATATTGATTCTTCCTATCCATGAGCATTTGTTTGTGTCCTCTCTTATTTCCTTCAGCAATGGTTTGTAGTTCTCCTTGAAGAGGTCCTTCACATCCATTGTAAGTTGTATTCCTAGGTATTTTATTCTCTTTGTAGCAATTGCAAATGGGCATTCACTTATGATTTGGCTCTCTGCTTGTCTGTTATTGGTATATAGGAATGCTTGTGATTTTCGTACATTGATTTTGTATCCTGAGACTTTGCTGAAGTTGCTTATCAGCTTAAGGAGATTTTGGACTGAGATGATGGGGTTTTCTAAATATGCAATCATGTCATCTGCAAACAGGGACAATTTGACTTCCTGTCTTCCTATTTGAATACGCTTTATTTCTTTCTCTTGCCTGACTGCCCTGGCCAGAACTTCCAATACTATGTTGAATAGGAGTGGTGAGAGAGGGCATCCTTGTCTTGTGCTGGTTTTCAAAGGGAATGTTTCCAGCTTCTGCCCATTCAGTATGATATTTGCTATGGGTTTGTCATAAATAGCTGTTATTATTTTGAGATATGTTCCATCAATACCTAGTTTATTGAGAGTTTTTAGCATGAAGGGATACTGAATTTTGTTGAAGACCTTTTCTGCATCTATTGAGATAATCATGTGGTTTTTGTCATTAGTTCTGTTTATGTGATGGCTTACACGCATTGATTTGCGTATGTTGAACCATCCTTGCATCCCAGGGATGAAGGTGACTTGATTGTGGTAGATAAGCTTTTTGATGTGCTCCTGGATTTGGTTTGCCAGTATTTTATTGAGGATTTTCGCATCCATGTTCATCAGTGATATTGGCCTGAATTTTTTTTTTTTTTTGTATATCCTTCAGGTTTTGGTATCAGGATGATGCTGGCCTCATAAAATGAGCTAGGGAGGAGTCCCTCTTTTTCTATTGTTTGGAATACTTTCTGAAGGAATAGTACCAGCTCCTCTTTGTACCTCTGGTAGAATTCAGCTGTGAATCTGTCTGGTCCCCAGCTTTTTTTGGTTGGTAGGCTATTAATTACTGCCTCAATTTCAGAACTTGTTATTGGTCTATTCAGGGATTCAACTTCTTCCTGATTTAGTCTTGGGAGGGTATATGTGTCCAGGAATTTATCTATTTCTTCTAGATTTTCTAGTTTATTTGTATAGAGGTGTTTATAGTATTCTCTGATGGTAGTTTGTATTTCTGTGGGATCAGTGGTGATATCCCCTTTATCATTTTTTATTGTATCTATTTGATTCTTCTCTCTTTCCTTCTCTATTAGTCTGGCTAGCTGTCTATCTATTTTGTTAATCTTTTAAAAAAACCAGCTCCTAGGTTCATTGATTTTTTGAAGGGTTTTTCGTGTCTCTATCTCCTTCAGTTATGCTCTGATCTTAGTTATTTCTTGTCTTCTGCTAGCTTTTGAATGTGTTTGCTCTTGCTTCTCTAGTTCTTTTAATTGTGGTGCTAGGGTGTCAATTTTAGATCTTTCCTGCTTTCTCTTATGGGCATTTGGTGGTATATATTTCCCTCTAAACAGTGTTTTAGCTGTGTCCCAGAGATTCTGGCCCATTTTGTCTTCATTCTCATTGGTTTCAAAGAACTTCCTTATTTCTGCCTTAATTTCGTTATTTACCCAGTAGTCATTCAGGAGCAGGTTGTTCAGTTTCCATGTATTTGTGCAGTTTTGAGTGAGTTTCTTAATCCTGAGTTCTAATTTGATTGCAGTGTGGTCTGAGAGACTGTTATGATTTCCATTCTTTCACATCTGCTGAGGAGTTTTTACTTTCAATTATTTGGTGAATTTTAGAATAAGTACAATGTGGTGCTGAGAAGAATGTATATTCTGTCAATTTGGGGTGGAGAGTTCTGTAGATGTCTATTAGGTCTGCTTGGTCCAGAGCTGAGTTCAAGTCCTGAATATACTTGTTAATTTCTGTCTTGTTGATCTGTCTAATTTTGACAGTGGGGTTTTAAAGTCTCCCACTATTATTGTGTGGGAGTCTAAGTCTCTTTGTAGGTCTCTAAGAACTTGCTTTATATATCTGGGTGCTCCTATATTGGGTGCATATATGTTTAGGATAGTTAGCTCTTCTTGTTGCATTTATCTCTTTACCATTATGTGATGCCCTTCTTTGTGTTTTTTGATCTTTGTTGGTTTAAAGCCTGTTTTATCTGAGGCTAGTATTGCAATTCCTGCTTTTTTTTTTTTTTTTTTTTTTTTTTTTTTTTTTTTTTTTTGCTTTCCAATTCTTGGTAAATAGTCCTCCATCCCTTTATTTTGAGCCTATGTATGTTTTTGCATGTGAGCTGGGTCTCCTGAATACAGTATGCTGATGGGTCTTGACTTTTTATCCAATTTGCCAGTCTGTGTCTTTTAATTGGGGCATTTAGCCCGTTTACATTTAAAATTAATATTGTTATGTGTGAATTTGATCCTGTCATTATGATGCTAGCTGGTTATTTTGCCTATTAGTTGATGCAGTTTCTTCATAGTGTCGATGGTCTTTACAATTTGGTATGTTTTTGCAGTGACTGGTACTGGTTTTTCCTTTCCACATTTAGTGCTTCCTTCAGAAGCTCTTGTAAAGCAGGCCTGGTGGTGAAAAAATCTCTCAGCATTTGCTTATCTGTAAAATATTTTATTTCTCCTTCACTTATGAAGCTTAGTTTGACTGGTTATGAAATTCTAGTTTGAAAATTCTTTTCTTTAAGCATGTTGAATATTGGCCCCCACTCTTTTCTTGCTTGTAGGGTTTCTGCAGAGAGTCCCACTGTTAGTCTGATGGGCTTCCCTTTGTGGGTATTCCGACCTTTCTGTCTGGCTGCCCTTAACATTTTTTCCTTCATTTCAACCTTGGTGAATCTGACAATTATGTGTCTTGGAGTTGCTCTTCGTGAGGATTATCTTTGTGGTGTTCTCCGTATTTGCTGAATTTCAGTGTTGGTCTGTCTTGCTAGGTTGAGGAAGTTCTCCTGGATAATATCCTGAAGAGTGTTTTCCAACTTGGTTCCATTCTCCTCATTACTTCCAGGTACACCAATCAGATGTAGGTTTGGTCTTTTCACAGAGTCTCACATTTCTTGGAGGCTTTGTTTATTCCTTTTCATTCTTTTTTCTCTAATCTTGTCTTCATGCTTTATTTCATTAAGTTGATCTTCAATCTCTGATATCCTTTCTTCCACTTAATCGATTTGGATATTGATACTTGTGTATGCTTCACGAAGTTCTCGTGCTGTGTTTTTCAGCTCCATCAGGTCATTTATGTTCTTCTCTAAACTGGTTATTCTGGTTAGCAATTCCTCTAACCTTTTTTCAAGGTTCTTAGCTTCCTTGTATTGGGTTATAACATGTTCCTTTAACTCAGAAGAGTTTGTTATTACCCATGTTCTGAAGCCTACTTCTGTCACTTCCTCAAACTCATTCTCCATCCACTTTTGTTCCCTTGCTGGCAAGGAGTTGTGATCCTTTGGAGGAGAAGAGGCATTCCCATTTTTGGAATTTTCAGGCTTTTTGTGTTGGTTTTTCCTCATCTTCATGGATTTTCTGCCTTTGGTCTTTGATGTTAGTGGCCTTTGGATGGGGTTTTTGTGTGGATATCTTTTTTGTTGATGTTGATGCTATTCCTTTCTGTTCATTAGTTTTCCTTCTAAGAGGCCCCTCTGCTGCAGGTCTGCTGGAGTTCACTCAAGGTCCATTCTAGACCTTGTTTGCCTGGGTGTCACCAGCAGAGGCTTCAGAACAGCAAACATTGCTGCCTGTTCCTTCCTCTGGAAGCTTCGTCCCAGAGGGGTACCTGCTAGATGCCAGCCAGAGCTCTCCTGTATGAGATGTCTGTCGACCCCTGCTGGGAGGTTTCTCCCAGTCAGGAGGCATGGGGGTCAGGGACCCACTTGAGGAGGCAGTCTGTTCCTTAGCAGAGCTTGAGTGCTGTGCTGGGAGATCTGCTGCTCTCTTCAGAGCTGGCAGGCAGGAACATTTAAGTCTGCTCTGCCCACAGCCGCCCCTTCCCCCAGGTGCTCTGTCCCAAGGAGATGGGAGCTTTATCTATAAACCCCTGACTGGGGCTGCTGCCTTACTTTCAGAGATGCCTTTCCCAGAGAGGAAGAATCTAGAGAGGCAGTCTAGCTACAGTGGCTTTCTGGTGCTGCCGTGGGCTCCACCCAGTCCGAACTTCCTAGCAGCTTTGTTTACACTGTGAAGGGAAAACCGCCAACTCAAGCCTCAGTAATGGTGGATGCCCCTCCCCCCCACCAAACTCAAGCATCCCAGGTCAACTTCAGACTGCTGTGCTGGCAGCAAGAATTTCAAGCCAGTGGATCTTAGCTTGCTGGGCTCTGTGGGGGTGGGATCCACTGAGCTAGACCATTTGGCTCACTGGCTTCAGCCACATTTCCAGGGAAGTGAACAGTTCTGTCTTGCTGGCATTCCAGGTGCCACTGGGATATGGAAAAAAACTCCTGTAGCTAGCTCGGTGTCTGCCCAAATGGTGGCCCAGTTTTGTGCTTGAAACCCAGGGTCCTGGTGGTGTAGGCACCCGAAGGAATCTCCTGGTCTGTGGATTGCGAAGACTGTGGGAAAAGCGTAGTATCTGGGCCAGAATGCACTGTCTTTCGCAGCACAGTCCCTCACAGCTTCCCTTCGCTAGGGGAGAGAGTTTCCCGATCCCTTGCAGTTACTGGGTGAGGCAACACCCCACCCTACTTTGGCTCCCCCTCTGTGAGCTGCACCCACTGTCTAACCAGTCCCAATGAGCTGGGTACCTCAGCTGGAAATGCAGAAATCACCCTCTTTCTGCGTTGATCTCACTGGGAGCTGCAAACCAGAGTGGTCCTTATTTGGCCATCTTGCCAGCCACCAATGACGTTGCCATTTTTTGAGGCCACTATCTCAAAGAGAGTTTGTGGTGGCAAAGGAGCAGAGGATGGAGAACCATACCCCAGCTCTTGAATGCTTCTGCCCAGAACTCACATAGATGACTTTTTTCACATTTCCCTGGACAAAGCAAGATATATGGTCATACCTAACGTCCAGGAGGCTGACATGTTTCATCCTCTCCTGTGTCTGGAAGGGGAGGAGACCCGGAAACATTAGTGAGCACTGCTAATGTGGAGAATCACTTAGTGGTAAGGGGAGCCAAACACAATTGAGAATATCCTGGGGAAGGAAGACAGCCTTAAAACACTTCTGGAAAAATGTGTTGTCAGAGACTTCTTGGCAAAGGCTTAACTTAAATTGGGAAGAGGGCAAATAATGTAGCAAAATTCCAGTGATTCAACTCTGTGATTAAGTGGATAGCATTATCATAGTGGTTCTGAGCCCTGGCTGCACATTAGAATTGTCTAGGTTACTTCAAAAACAAATAAAAAAAACAATGTCAGGATTCCAACCTAGTTCAGTTAAATCAGAATCTCCTACGGTTAAGGCCTGAGAGTTCTTATTTTTTAAGTTTCTCCAGTTGATAATTTTTGTGTTCAGAACTACATCAGCTTTTCCCTGTTTGCATATAGATAATTCAGGCATGTCCAGATTCACCCCAAGCCCTCTCAGAGATGATGGTTGACAGGAGGGACATAATCTTACATTTGCAGGCTCCAAAATAATCCAGCTGGAGTTGATGCCCCTTTTTGGTCCCCTCCAGTCTGCATTTAGTAGCGAATAGATGACAGGAACTAGCATAGGTCTGATTGTCAGTGCCACAAACCTATGGAAGATAAGTAGAAGAAAAAGCTGATAGAGCCAAATGCTCACTGGAAGACACTCTGCTCCTTAAAGCTCATATGCTGATAACAGCGCTGTGCCAAAGATGTGGTCAGGTAGGTGAGACTATTAAAATCGTAATTGTTCCATTTGGCATCAAAAAAATCAACTAAACTGTACCAACGGTGATGACAATTTAGCTCTAGATAAGCTCAGTAGAATGAAAACTGCAGATGTTCCAAATATCCCAAATAACCAAATGATAACCTAGGTATCTACCTTTTTTAAGCAAAAATTTCAATGGCAAATATTTTTATTTCAGTCACTAACCTTTTGGAGCCACTTAAAGACTATTTTGCAGAATACTTACTTGATCAAGGGGTTTTGTTGGAGGACAAGTCACTGGATCCTGGCAGACACAGTGAGGTTTTCCCTGTTGGTCTGCCTTACAGATGTGGCCTCTTTTACACTGGAAGCTCATGCAAGAATCTAACAGAAAAGATTGGGCAGGAAGCATGGACAAAGTTAAATTGAGTATGTAAATACAAATTCACTCAACTAGTTTCATTTTCACTAATGAAGGGGAAATTTTGAAGTCCTTGAAATTTGCAAATTTGGAAGTGGGAAGACATTGGAATCCTCTTTAATTGATGTGTTAATGTCAGATGGAACCTTCTATTTTACATGATAATTTTACTGATTATTTTACATGATAATCTAGATTTCCTCTTGCAGCAGTTTGGATTGGAGATGTGCAAAGAACAGACAGCTCTTCTATGCCTGAGATGGTCATAGTCTGAAGTCCTTAGTGCAACGTTGTGCAAGCTGGTCAGAAGTGAAATAAGGCTGAAATTCAAAATGTTTGTGATAGGGGGAGGAATAAGGTCCTTTATCAAGTATGGGATATAAATTCATCAGCAAGTTACAGATTTGAGAATAAATAAGATAGAATTAAGTCTTTTCAGAAGCAAAAGGATTTAAGGAAGAACTCTAGCCCTTTCACTAATATCTCAACAGGGCTTCCAGTTTGCAAACACATTTACCCATTGTTGTATATCAAGTATGCACAAGAAAATGTCAACAATTTATGGGAGCATTTCCTTGGGGAGGACTGGGGAGAGAAAAAATTCTGTGCAGCATTCACAAAGGATGGAGGGACAAGCCCAAAGTGGCAGATTCCATTTCTTCCTTGATATAGTCACAAACAGCTTGCTTCATGCATACTCACCCACAGCATGCACCCTCATGTTGCCTTCACTTGACGTTTCCTCCTCATTTGATGAGTTCTCTGCTTTCTTGGCCTTTAGAATAACAAGAGCAAAAGTTAAAATCTACTAAGAGGAGAGCCATTACTTAATTTATATTTCCACTGTGCATACTTTCACGAGTATTTTTCATGCTCAAATCATTTCAAATCTCAGAAAGGGAAACCAGGCTGGGTGTGGTGGCTCACATGTGTAATCCCAGCACTTTGGGAGGCCAAGGTGGGAGGATCACTTGAGCCCAGGAGTTTAAGACCAACCTGGGCAACATAGGGAAACTCCATCTCTACCCACCCCCCCCCCCAAAAAAAAAAAAATTAGCTGGGCATGATGGTGCATGCCTGTGGTCCCGGTTACTCAGGAAGCTAAGGTGGGAGGACTGCTAGAGCCCAGGAGGTTGAGGTTGCAGTAAGCTGTGATTGCATCACTACACTCCAGCCTAGGAGACAGAGCAAGACTCCATCTCTAAAAACAAAACAAAACAGAAAAAAAAGAAGAAATGGAGCCTGTAATCCCAGCACTTTGGGAGGCTGAGGTGGGTGGATCACCTGAGGTCAGGAATTCGAGACCAGCCTGACCAACAAGGTGAAACCCTGTCTCTACTAAAAATACAAAAATTAGCTGGGCATGGTGGCAGGCGCCTATAGTCCCACCTACTTGAGTGGCTGAGACAGGAGAATTGCTTGAACCTGGGAGGCAGAGGTTGCAGTGAGCCGAGATTGCGCCACTGCACTCCAACCTGGGTGAAGGAGTGAGACTCCGTCTCAAAAAAAAAAAAAAAAGAAAAAAGAAAGGGAAATCAGTCACAACTGTGGAGGTAGACAGTAACCCTTGGAGAACAGGACCCATTTCTATCTTTATCAGTGAGATTTAGTGCGTTATCTCTGGGGATTACTCAATAAGACTTGGAGTCTCCTCTTTGGATTTGAGAAAACACTAGAAATGTAGTATTATCTTGTGATTTTGTAGTTAAGCCAGAGTTACATTGGAAATCTCTCTGAATTTGTTGGTAAAGCTTTCATACCAGGCTTTTAAGGTATAAGAAAACTCCTACGTTAGAGTGGCAGCAGAGTTCTCAGTAACTGAGGTTACCATTGACCTTGTGTACCAAAATCTGTGCCAAGTCCTGCTGGCACAGGACTTTGTGGCTGCCAGGATTTTGAATGAAAGCTCCAAATATGCTTCCTCCCTGCCCCGATCCTGCTGTAGTTTCCAGATTATCATTTTGGTATGTGTTTGCTTAATAAAGTAGGACCTTAATCTTTATAACTAATTCAACAAACATTGTTGGCTCTTTTGTTATGTCAGAGACATTTTGTTGGACACTGGTGATTCAACTCGAAAACAATATGGCATCTGCTTTCAAGGCATTAGAGCAGCAGTTGCCAGTATCTCCTATCCTTCAGATCTGTCATAATTTATCATTCCAGCTAGTTCCAGGGACTTTCAATGGCCAATATCTGCATTTCCGTGCCTGAAAAATCATGGAAATTGACCTGGCTCACTCAAGGGACAGGCTGGAAATGCTGGGAAATTAATACCCCTCTAGCAATCCTCAGCCAAAAGAAGTACCCTAGCTCCTTCAGTCGCCAAATGGAATACTTCTGAGAAAATGTCTTTACATGGCTTGAATGATGTTCCTTTTATTAGCTTCCTTTCCTTCTTGTGTTACTTCTGCACTCCTCTTTGTTCCCTGTGCTTCTTAAATAAACAACACTCAAATCCAAGATCTGCATCTACGGGAACTCAAATAAAACAGGCATTCTCAGCCTAATGATAGAGATAGACCTAAAAAGAAATAACTGTAATATATTTTAGTAATGTACTAGTAGACATCCATACAGGACACTGTGAGAGCACAGAGAAAGGTCATGACTGTTTATTGATAATGCTGGCTTTATTGGACAAGGACCATTTAAAATAATTTTACCTCTTGGTGCTCTCCAGGCTCAGTGGTACCTATATTTTCATTTTCATGTACTTTTTCTCTTTGCTCCTCAATTTTGAGGTGATAGGCAATGGATTGAGCTCTCTCGGCCTCCAGAAAGGCCTGGCTTGGGATGAAGTAGTCATCACTTGCACTGTGCCTGGGGCCATCAGTGCCGCCATCATCGCCATCATCATCGCCATCATCATCAACTCCATGATTTCTGGGCGTGGTATTACCATCATCAGTAGGTTCCATGAGCAGAGCCTCAGAAACAGTCTTTTCTTCTGTCTCTTTGTGGTTGCTGATAGCTTCTAGGCCAGTTTTACCCTCTTGACTCTGCCATTCAGTTTCTTGAATGTGCTTATTGACGTTCGATGCATTTTCCTCTTCCATTTCTGCATTGGAGTTATCTTCTTGTTCTTGGTTACCCTGATCAAATTCATCCTCCTGCATCTTGCTTACTTGAGTTGGTTGATCAGACTCTTCCAAAATATCATCAGATTGGGTATTGTCTTCCTCCTGCTTGCTGTTAGCATGCTCCCTGGGCAATTCTGTCTTTCTTTCTTGGTTATCATTGTGGGTACCAACTTCACCTGGCTCTTTTTCTTCTTCCTCTTCTCCATTGGAAATATTTGGATCCTGCTCTTGGTTTCCTTGATCCCTTAGGCCTTGGCTATGTTTACTGCTCCTGTTCAACTGATGATGTGAATAATTTCTAGGTTGTTCTTGGTTTTCCTCTCTCTTTGTGATACTTTCTTGTTGGTTAGAATCTGTGAAGGAACTAACACCAGGAGCCAAAAAATCAGTGTTCTCTGAGAGTTTTTTCTCCTGAGGCTCACTCATATCTTCTTTTATGTCCAATGTACCTTCAGTTGGTGCATACTCCAAATTCACACTTAAGTGACCATCACTGTCCTCTTGATCCTTCAATCCCAGCTCTTGGCTAGAACTCTTGCCCTGTTCTGCTGACTGTTCATGGCTTTCCTCTTTTGACTTTAGTACTGATGATTTTTCAGCCTTAAAAGAAAAAAAAGTTCATTCTTCAAACAAATGATAATGTAACCATATTTATGCCTAAGGTAACATTTAATATTCATTATTCTTTTTCTTCACACACTATCATGTAAACATGTTTATAATATTCCTCACACTCTGTAGCCACAGGTTTAAACTGAATTTGGATTTTATAAAATGAAACAAGTATACAGCAGCTCAGCCCAAGTAGTAAAACTCATTAATCCTCATCATTCTTCTAGTGATTGGAGGCAGTTGAGGTGATCATCATGTTTTAAAAAAATTAAACTGAGACATAAATAACATAATCTCTTTTACCATGCTTTGAAACTAAGACCTTTGGAGAATTAAAAAATTGTATTAATATAAATGATGTTACTTTTACCTTATGGTGGGAATCGTCTTCTGTGGATACTGCTGTTTCTTTTTCATTTTCTTCAGCTTCAGCCCTTAAACTGGGGATTGCAGTGTTGTCAGGTGCTACCGTTTCAGCAGTTGGTTTGGAATGATCAGATAATAATCTTGCATTTGTCTGAAAAAATTAAAAACTGGTTTTTGTTATTCATGTCTGGATGCTAATTTACAAATTTGCTAGTTACTCTTGTTGTCATCATTATTAGTAGCAATATACTTCATTTATACCAACAATTTAAAAATATTCTCTAGAGTTTTTGAGGATATAAGCAGATGCCTAGAACAGAATGTTAAGTGGAAGCAGAATCTCAATTGTGTTTAAGAAAAAGTTATTTATGCAGAGACTGGGTGAAAATAAAACAAAATGCATTTAAATAATGGTAACTTTGAGTTTTGAAATTATTTTCTGTGTTTTTTAAACTTTTGCAAAGCATTTGTACTTTACAATTTTGGAAAGTGTTGTTTAGCAGAAAGTTGAAGTCAAATAAAATTAACCATAGGATATAGTATTGTACATTTGCCTAATTTAAGTACCCACCGATAATTAGCAGAAAAATTTATAAACTTTTTATCAATATTTATTTGATTTCTTAACGCCATTGGCCTTAACGTTGGTCAGGAAATCTTAATGGGGCTGGGCATGGTGGCTCACGCCTGTAATCCCAGGTCTTTGGGATGCCGAGGTGGGTGGATCACCTGAGGTCAAGGGCAGGAGTTCAAGACTAGCCTGGACAACATGGTGAAACCCCGTCTCTACTAAAAATACAAAAAATTAGCTGGGTGTGGTGGTGGGTGCCTGTAATCGCAGCTACTCGGGAGGCTGAGGCAGGAGAATCACTTGAACCCTGGAGGCGGAGGTTGCAGTGAGCTGAGATTGTGCCATTGCACTCCAGCCTGGTCAACAAGAGTGAAACTCCATCTCAAAAACAAAAAAAATTAGAATTAATTCAGACTGTGTGAGACAGGGCACTAAGCCTAAGTAGAAAAGGGCATGTCTGGAGTATTAATTTCTATTAGAGGGATGGTCCTATTTCTAGCAAGATTGGAGACTTGGATAAAGAGCTGGGCAGTGATGCATGATGGGGAAGTTGAACAACTGAACTTGGAGGTAAGAGGCCTCCATTCAAGTCTTGCCTCTGCTATTTACTTTCTATCTGTGGTTTGACAGGTCGTTAATATTTTTTATTAATTAAAAAACATTAATAAAATTAATTCATTATATTAATTTTTAATTAATTAACTCCAGCCTCTTGCCCAGGGTGGAGTTCAGTGATGAAGTCTCGGCTCACTGCAACCTCTGCCTCCCAGGCTCAAGCCACCCTTCCACTTCAGCCTCCCCAGTAACTGGGACTATAGGCACCACCATGCCTGGGTAATTTTTGTATTTTTTGTAGAGATGGAGTTTCACCATGTTGCCCAGTCTGGCCTCGAACTTCTGAACTCAAGCAATCTTCCTGTCTTGGCCTCCCAAAGTGCTGGGATTACAGGTGTGAGCCACCATGACCGGCCAAGGTCATTAATTTCTACCCTGCCATCTCTCAAGGTGGCAAGAAATATCAAGTGAGCAGAAATATCAAAATAAGATTATGTATAAAAAATATGTTATAAATTTTAAGGAGTTGCCCAACTGAAAATTACTATTTCTAGTACTAATGTCACACTGTGTCAATAATATAAACTGCCCAGTATCTGAGGCAGATATTCACCATGGATCTTTATTAGAGAGATACTCTGGACACTCAGATGGCCTATCCAGGTGTAAGTATGAAACTGAGATTCTATTTGGATTAACTTATTTTTATTCCATTAGCAGGTCCTGTAGTGCTGACTGTGTAATAGTCATGGAGTACAGGATTTATTTTTTATTTTTAAACTTTTTTTTGAGACAGAGTCTCACTCTGTTGCCCAGGCTGAAATACAGTGGTGATCTTGGCTCACTGTAACCTCCACCTGCTGGGTTCAAGCAATTCTCATGCCTCAGCCTCCTGAGTAGCTGGGATTGCAGGTGCCTGCCACCATGCCCTGCTAATTTTTGTATTTATTTATTTTTCTAGTAGAGACAGGATTTCACCATGTTGGCCAGGCTGGTCTCAAACTCCTGGCCTCAAGTGATCTGCCCACCTTGGCCTCCCAAAGTGCTGGGATTACAGATGTGAGCCACGGCTTCTGGCCAAAGTACAGGATTCATATTAGGTTTGGTTTGCTCCTTTGCTTCTTATCTCCTTTTCACCTAAGATGGGTAATGAATTTGAAAAAGTTTATAAAGAAGCCTTAAAGAAGGGGGAAAAGGAGAAAGAATGGTGGCCACTTTGGTAAGCTGCCAGCAGGGGGCATCATAGAAGGCAATGGATGGGGGAGATTTTAGGCTTATTAGTGGAGAACTGGTCACTCTCTCTCCCCCTCCATCCGCCTACTGCCCAAGCAGGAAGAAATGCACACAAAAAATGGCAGCTCTTTTACTTTCAGAAATATTCTGCAATTGAAATTATGTTTTATCACTATGGGCATATTTCTATTTATTTAACTCTGGAAATCTATTTGGAATCTCCCAACTACACAGAATCCATTTTCATCTGGAGAATTCAGGCAGGCAGGGAAAATTATACAAATTTTTAATAGGTCATTTCTATGAGAAGATACTTAGCTTTCTAGCAGTTTGGCTAGGTTTACATGATATCAAATTGTCCCAGAAAGGAAACATCTGGAATGTGTCTAAATGCAAGTGTGTCATTCAAACATTTGGTTCAAACACTTTTTTTGTTTTTTGAGGCAGTCTTGCTCTGTCACCCAGGCTGGAGTGCTGTGTGCGATCTTGGCTCACTGCAGCCTCAACTACCCTGGCTTAAGGGATCCTCCCTCCTGTGCCTCCCAAGTAGCTGGGACTACAGGCACATGCCATGGCAGCTGGCTAATTTTTTATTTATTTTTTTGTAGAGACGTGGCCTCACTATGTTACCCAGGCCGGTCTTGAACTCTTGGGCTCAAGCGATCCTCTGGCCTTGACCTCCCAAAGTGCTGGGATTATAGGTAGGAGCCACTGTGCGTGGCCCAAAGACACTTTTTAATGTTTATTTACATAACAGCAACAGCCACAAGGACAAAGCACATTTTCAGGAGAAAACAACGGTTTTGTGGGAACTCCTTTCAGTGTTGAACATTAACTTGTCCCGCTTTTGTGATTTCAGGGTGTAATGTATAATTTCAGCTAGAGTAGCTCCATACTACTTAAGCATGATTCCTGATGGTGGGTATAAACTCTGTCTTCCAAGAACAGCTTGGTCTGGGTGCCATGGAGTTTGTTTTTGCTGACACATTTGTCAACCAGAAGCTAGCTAACAACTTATCCAAAAAGCAAGGACAGAATTTTAGACCTAGAGAAGAAGGGAGGAAAGGGACGATTGAGAAATTGTTTTGTCTCTTTAAAGGAGGCTGATTCCTCCATTTGGTGAAAAAGAAAAAAAATATGGCACGAATCCTTTGGTTTAATGAAGGATTACATGAATCATTTGCAGAACATCTCCAGTGGTCATTCATGCTATGGTTTCATTTGTTTTTTAACTTTCAGTTTGTTTTGAGGCCACTGACACGGTTTCAAATGATCTGATTTGTGTACAGCTGCTTTATTGCTGTGCAAATGGGGCCAATATATCTGACCATGAAGAAGAGAATATTCTAGCCCTGCCTACTTTCAGCATACTTGCTTGGACAGCCTCCCAAGGGTGAATTAGGAGCTGATTTATGATTACCATATCGTTTCCTGCCTAAACCATTGGTTTCTGTTTTCATTATAGACTCTCAAAATTTCTCAGCCAGCATCTATTTGATCTTGAAGAAAATGCTGCTGGAGACCGTGGATATGCACCCTAAGTATTTTTTTTTTTTCAGACGGAGTCTCACTCTGTTGCCCAGGCTGGAGTGCAGTGGAGTGATCTCAGCTCACTGCAATCTCTGCCTCCTGGGTTCAATTGATTCTCCTTGCCTCAGCCTCCCGAGTAGCTGGGATTACAGGTGCCCGCCACCATGCCCGGCTAATTTTTGTATTTTTTAGTAGAGACGGGGTTTTGCCATGTTGGCCAGGCTGGTCTTGAGCTCCTGACCTCAGGTGATCCGCCCATCTCAGCCTCCCGAAGTGCTGGGATTACAGGCGTGAGCCACCGCACCTGGCCTAAAATCTTGGGTTTATAATAACAATGTGATGAGCTTCCCTGGGAGAATTTATTTCTTCCTGTCTCTTGTGTATTTGGGCTGATTCTATGGCTAATAAACTGATAGCCCAAACTTTCTGCTGCATATTTATTGTGTCCTGTAGAACCTGATAGTTCTAAAATTTTTTTTTAAGTACCTTATCTTGAGTTTTCCAGTTATTTGTTTGTTACTTGGGCAATAAAGAATATAATTAAAATAAAAAGAGAATTTCAAACCATTATATAAGAACATTTTCTTTTAAATGGAGGATTTCTGCATTAAATGTCAGGAGAAAGAGATGTAATAACAGAAGAAAGGAAATTTACCGGGATTGCAGCTGCAGTTCCCAAGAGACATAGGAAAAAAAGCCCAGTCTTCATGCTTTCCAGATCTGTGAACCAAGAAGATAATTATCAGTGGCAGGGAAAAGTTTCCTCATGAAAAACTGAAAGATAGTCTTAGCAAATACTGAGCTTGATATTGTCCTTGGCATATAAAAGTGATTTCTATCTTTGTGGATTAATATGTCTGAAAAGACAGATTGATGGCAGTTCTTACTCGATTGTGTACCTGTGAAAATTGCTCCCTGATTTTTCGGTCCGGCCATGTTCGGCAGAACCTATCTCTGTTTATGACAGTACTTCTTCGAGTAAAGACTCTGTGCAGATCTCAGGTCTTAAGATTCATGAGTATTCATAATGAAAAAAAAAAGTCATATGTCAAGGTTGAGTAAAAACACGCTGCCTGTTTAGTGGTAAAGAAACACATTCATTCAGTGAAGATTTTTAGTCATGCAGCACTGCACTGCCACAGAGTAATAGACCTAGAGGGTATTAATGTTCATCTGATTTAGAGGTCTTTACTGGCAATCTGTGAGTTAGGGGTGGCCTGCAGATAGGTTTGGTTTGGTAGGCACTGTGCATTTTAAACTAGTATTTTAAATTCCAGAGGTTTCATGTCAAAATCCAAATTTCCAGTTTCTCTTGAACCATCTGACCTCTTAGCAACAACAGGTCTTCATGACAGCAGTTGGCTGCATCTGAGTTGAGACTGTCCTCTGTAAGGGATGCTGGCGTTTGTGCTTGATCTGTCTCACTTTTGGTATTTGCCTTTCATTTGAGTTTAGTTAGTTCCGAACGAACTCTTTAAGTTTAGAAACGAGACAAGTGAGGCTCAGAGAGGTTAAGTAAGTTGTCTCCAGATGAACTCTGGGTCTAAGGCTTTTCCCACACACCAGTTATATTATTGTGGTTCTTGAAAGTAGTGGGCAGCCTACATTTTTTTGCAGGATATCCCTAAGTCTGGTAGTCTGACCTGTAACTGGGATTAGGGCTGCAGCTTTTAGTATTTAATAGAGGTTTTATGGATCGCCCAGAAATACTAGATGACTCCTTTAAATTATTTTTTGCAAACATAAACACATTCACAGAGTTTTAAGTAAGACTTTGAGGTTTATAAAGAAACTGAGCAGTTTCTTCTGCTACTTATTCCAATATTTCTAAACAATGTGCTTAAATGGATATTTTAAAATATATTAAATATTACTCTAGGGATTTAATATTGCAACAACTATCACTTCACACACACGTACGCGCGCACGCACATACGCGCGCACGCACACACTTCTCTTCCTCCTTTCTCTTCCTAAAATAATTTTATCATAATTCTTGTTTAAATTTTTATTTAACATTCATGACAATGTAAATATTCTTCACAGCTGAACCAAGTAGTCATTTCATGTGTTGAACCACACTGACATTTATTTTCTTGAACGATATTTTGCTTTGGTTTTGATTTAAAAATTGCCTTCCTTTTAAAGCTTTTTACGTACTTTTTTGTGCACCCATCACTTATTCTTCCTGAATTTTCCAACAAAATTTAAAATTTCCTCTTAATATGGTAACAACAATAACAACAACAGAGCTACATCAACAACCCCGTAAGGAAATCCCTCGTGTCCATTTCGCCCCTTGGAAGTGGCACTCCCAGAGCCTCGGAGTTCTTGCTTCCTTTGGACTGGTGTATCTCCGGCTGCTGGGCAGCTTTTCTCCTGGGGTCCATACCTGGGGTCACCACGCCCTGGTAATCCCCTTTGTCTTTTTTCTTCTGTTTGATTTCTTGCTTCCTAAGTCCCATATATTTTTCTTTCTTAGTTTTCTCCCTCATTTTGATGAAGCACATACTCCATAAGTTTCTTGAGAAACCACACACAGGAGACAGAATTTTTAAGGTATTGCATATTAGAAAAATATCTGTATTTTACCCTTTACTTGATACATAGTTTGAATAGATATAGAATTCTAGATTGGAGTATTTTTTTCTCAGAATTTTTTTTAAAACATTGGTCTATTTTCTTATAATTTCCAGTGTTGCTAGTAAGAACTCTGATGTGAGTTTTTCCCCAATGTTTTTATGAACATAGTATTTTTTTCTTCTTTATGGATGCTTTTATGTTTTTACATTTGGCCCTAGTCTTCTGAAATATTACCATCTCTGCCTTAGTTTGGATACTTTTACATTTAGTTTAGGAACTCATTAGGCCCTTTGAATTTGGAAATTTATATATTTCAGTTCTGGGGAGCATTTTATGTGTTAGTTCCTTAATGATTTTTGCCCTTCTATTTTTTGTCTTTTCTTTCTAGAATTTATATTAGTTAAATATCAGAATTCTGGGGTTGATTCTCCGATTTGCTAATCATTTTTGCTCTTCTCTTCAACAGTGTGTCTATCATTCTGGGAAACTTTCTCACTTTTACCTTACATCTCTCCTATTGATTTTTTTTTTTTTCCTGGAGATAGGGTTTCGCCATGATACCCAGGCTGGTATCAAACTCCTGAGCTCAAAGTGATCTGCCTGCCTCAGCCCCCTAAAGTGCTAGGATTACAGGGATGAGCCACTGTGCCTGGCCTGTTTTATTGATTAAAAAAAATTATACCTTTATACTTCATTTTCTTTTTTAATTTTATTTTTAAATTGACAAATAACAATTATACATATTCATGGGGTACATAGTGATGCTTCACTACATATAATGTATAGTGATCAGATAAGGATAATTTGCATATCCATCACCTCAAACAGTTATTATTTCTTTGTATTGGGAACAGTGTCTTCTTTCTAGCTATTTGAAATATATAATATCCTACAGTGGTATAGAGCACTAGAACTTATTCTTCCTATTAGCTATAGTTTTACGTCCTTTAACAAATAGCTCCCTATTCCTTTCTTCTCCTCACCCTTCCCAGCCTCAAGTATCCTCTGTTCTACTTCTTACTTCTATGAGATCAACTTTTTCGCTTCCATATGAGTGAGAATATGCTTATATACTGTTAATTTTTTATTTCCCGAAGGCTTCTTTTTAATATTGTCCTGTTCTTTATTAGTGTGACATATGTTCTTGTCTCCTTGAGGATATTAATCAAATATTTTGAAAATTTCCTCTGCACCCTGCAGTTTCTGTTTCCTTCTTGTTCCTTTTTTCCCCAGTTAGTTTGTTTTGATCTTTGTTTTTCCTGTTGAAAGCTTTTCTCTAATGTCTGATGTATTTGGCTGTCCATTAATACTTTGCAGTGAGTCACTAGAAAGCCAATTAGAACTTTATGGACAGGGCTTGGAGGGCTTCCAAAGAATAGTTCCATGGAGCATTGGAGGGCTTCCAAGGAGCAGTAACCTGACAGTCTTGATGGGGCACCCCAAATGTCATTGACAGATATTACAGGGAGATTTTCTTTTCTCTAGAGGAGAAATTCATACCTCTTACCTTGAGAAGCAAATATAAACCTGGTTGCTAGCATTCTGTGAAATCAGTGAAGAGACTGGAGTTCTCTCAGTGCACACACTGATTTTTCACTTAGTCCCTAGGTTTCTGTATGGCTCCACCTCCCACCTGACATTGTGTTTATTCTGAGTGCAGAGCCAGAGAATAAGCTTTTTCCTGTTTGTGTTGAAACATGGAAGTCCCCTGGCTGTGCAGGCAGGAGGAAGGATCTTGAATCTAAGAGTTAATCTGATAGGCTTTCAACCAATACTCCAGATTTCAGCCTCTATCCTCACCCTGCCTTCCAAATCACCTGGTGCCTCCAATTCTGGAAACTTGCATGGGTTCTTCAGTGTGAATGGCTTCCTTCTTTGTCTATGGCATCCTTCTCTGCAGACTCTTAGGTTTAAGCTTTCCCTGTTCTAAGTCAGTCTTCCATCTTCTAAAGATGTGTTGACACTTGTCTTCTTTGTCTCCTCTTCTTTTATCTCAGTCACTGTGAGTCTATATTATTACTATTCTTTTCCTATCATTATTCTGGAATTTTAGCAGGGAGTGGCAACATATGTATATGTTTCATCTCCATTTCACAACAGATGACTTCCATTTCATATTTTCTTCATATTTTCCTCTGTCATTATCATCATCATTTTTAGTGTGACACATAGGAATTCCTGTGGGTCTTTGTGGGTCTTTGGTTCTAACTCAGCAAATGAAGTTTTTTTTTTTCCTTTTTTTTTTTTTAATACAGAGTCTTGCTCTGTTGCCCAGGCTGGAGTGCAATGGCGCAATCTTGGTTCACTATAACCTCTGCCTCCTAGGCTCAAGTGATTCTCATGCCTCAGCCTCCCAAGTAGCTGGAATAACAGACATGTGCCACCATGCCTGGCTAATTTTTGTATTTTTAGTAGAGACAGGGGTTTCGCCATGTTGCCCAGGCTGGTCTCGAACTCCTGGCCTCAACTGGTCCACCTGCCTCGGCCTCTCAAACTAGCAGCAAATGAAGTTTTTATTGAAGAAAACAGGGCTATAGCATAGACTTCCTCATCATATTGGGAACAAGAACACATTTTTACCTATCTCACTATTCAAATCCAGGTGGTCCAGGGTGGGCCACCTGGACCAGGGAACAGTCAGTTGGAAGAATAGAGAGTAAAGCTGCACATAGAAAGTGATTTGGTATTGTGTGTGTGTGTGTGTGTGTGTGTGTGTGTGTGTGTGTGTGTGTGTGGTGGGGTGGGGGTGGGAGGGTTGAATCAGGGGTGTGGGGAGAAACTTAAATCATTTATAACCTTACTAGTCTGGACTAATCAATTCCCAGTTTTAATGAAAAGGACATGTACTTGGAGACTCAAGTATAATTCTTCTAAGTGATCCTTCTGAAAATGACTACATATAACAAGGAGAAATTTAGAATATTAACAATGGAATGGGTGTTTACTTTATTTAGAACGGGTAATGGCATATAAAATATACTTGACATTTCTATTGCCATAGTGCTTTGGGTTTACCAAATAAATTTACAAATGGGATATTACCTTATTTGATCTTTACAACAACCCCAGGATGTGGCAGATGAAGAACAGGCCTAGAAAGCCTACAGTGTGACATGCTGGAGATCACTGAGCTCTGTAGAAGGGGAGCTGGGATTGAAGCTAGATTTCCTGGCTCCCACTCCAGCTTTTTTCTAGTTATTTTGCAAATTCTCCATTTTACCTCTTACACAAAGGTGTAAGGAAGGGGGACAAAAACTAAAAAAATCCCAAAACAAACAAAAAAACCACCATTGTGACAAATTGAGATTTCACTTTGAGTTTGAGTTTTTAAACAAAAAGTTCCAAACATTTTAAGGAGTAAGATGGTACGTACTTGGCAAAATGCACTTCTTTGTGTTGAAGGAAAAGGCTTATCTTAGAAGGTTGGTTGGATTACTTGATATTGAAAGTTTCTTTCAATAAAACATCTTATGGCCTAAACAAGGCAAAAAGCATAGGAATTCAATTTTCCATGAAAGAAAAATGTATTTAAGTAAAAACATGGAGCAACCTCCCCCCGCTGCCCCAAAACTCTAATACATTGAAAAACACCTTAAAACAAGAAAAGCATTAAACTGTCAGGAGAGCTGGATTCTGGCTCTAGCAGTGTCCCTGACTGCCAGGAGACCTTGGGAAAGTCACTTGCCCTTTCTTAGATACAGTTTTCTCAAGTGATGAACAATGAAGAGTGAGACCTAGATGATCCTCTAACCCTAATATTTTAGGATTCTAAAATTGAAAATAATTCCATTAATTGTATGAATCCTAAATTGCTGCTATCTTTTCCCCTTAAACTACTAAACCCACTAAAATATATTCCATGATTTTTATTGTATTAAAATAAAATATTTTATATATGGTAATTCATGCTTAAAGTAAATATGTGGACTCTATTAGCGATGATAATTTAAAACATTCTATCCTCCTAGTGAATGCTAATTGTAAAGAATCATTGAAAAACGCAGTTTCTTTCCTCTACATTTTAAATTCAATGTTTACTTATTTATTCATTTATTCCACAAATATTTATTAGAGTTATGGAACTATAGTCACTTATATTTTATTTTATTTATTTATTTTTATTTTTGAGACAGGGTCTTGCTCTGTTGCTCAGGCTGGAGTGTAATTGCAATCATAGCTCACTGCAGCCTCCAGTTCCTGGGCTCAGGTGATCCTCCTGCCTCAGACTCTCAAGTAGCTGGGGATATAGGTGCAAACTATTATGCTCAGCTAATTGTTTTTTTTTTTTTTTGTAGAGATGGGGTCTTTCCATGTTGCCCAGGCTGGTCTCAAACTTCTGGCTTCAAGCATTCCTCCTACCTCAGCCTCCTAAAGTACTGGGATTACAGGGATGAGCCACTGTGCCTAGCCTTATATTTTAGATCAGTATGTTATTACTATTCTACTGGTTTTGAAAACTATAGAAATACAAAATAGTATGGTTTAGTGAAGGGTTTCTTTATCTTGGCACTGTTAACATTTTGGCTTGATGATTCTTTGTTGTGGGGGGCTGTCCTGTGCCTTGTAGGATGCTTAGCAGCATTCCTGTCCTCTGCCCATTAGATGTCAGTAGCGAGCCCCCATCCCCCACCAGCTAGGGACAAACAAAAATGTCTCCAGACATTGCCAAATGTTCCATGGGGGGCAAAATCGCCCTGATTGAGAACCATTGGTTTAGCGGAAGCAGACTGGTGCTTTCAGATTAGAGAGACATGCATTTGAACTCTGGAGCAACATTTGCCATCTATATGATCTTTGGCAAGTTACTTAGCCCTCTAAGCCTCAGATTCCCCATCTAAAAATGGGGATAACATCTGTGATGGTTAATTTTATATGTCAACTTGACTAGACCATGGGATGCCCAGATATCTACTTAGACATTATTCCTGGGTGTGTCTCTGAGGGTGTGTTCTGAAGAAATTAACATTTGAATTGGTAGACAGAATAAAGCAGATTGCTCTACCCAATGTGAGTGGGCATAATTCAATCCACTGGGGACCTGAATAGAACAAAAAGGCAGGGGAAGGGAGAATTCCCTCTCTCTCTCTGCCTATCTGTTTGAGTTGGGACATTGATATTCTGCTGTTGGATTGGGACTTAACACCATCAGCCCTCCAATTCTTAGGCCTTCAGACTTGGACTAGAACTCAACATCATTGGTTCTCAGGTCTTCAGACTTGAACGGGAACTATACAATTGGCTCTCTTGGCTTTCCAATTTGCTGACTGCAGATCTTGGGACTGGCTCCATTAATGTAAACTAAGTCCTCATTATCTATATCTCTATCTATCTATCATCTATCTATCTATCTATCTATCTATCTATCTATCTATCTATCTACCTACCTACCTACCTACCTATCTCCTATTTGTTCTGTTTCTCTGGAGAACCTTGACTAATAAAACATCTAATTCAGTTTTGTGAGAGTTAGAAGAAATGGTACTGGTAAAAATGCCTGATACCTAGGAGATGCTCAATAAATTTTAATTCTTTTTTCTCTCATCTTCCTGATAAGTTAAGTTGTGATTCTTGAATAAACAACTTAGATTCTCAGAAAATAATGTAATTTAAGTTTTGCTGTGAGGTCAGAAAAATTGTCCAGTGGAACATTAAAGTCCATTCTGGCCACACATTTAGGCTCCTTTTAATGCCAGGAGTATTTCCGACATTCATCACACATAACAGTGGAATTAGGCACATGGAATGCTACCCTATTTTCTTACAAATGGTACAACTTAAAAGGGGAGTAAGAATTATCAAACGTGTTTTGCATCATAAGGCTCATTTCTTTTTGTTTGTTGCAGCAACATGCATAACTAATTAAATTTGAGAAAATATTTCCCTTTTAATCTGTCCGCATGATCTCACATGATCTCACAAGTTCCCTTCATTTCCCTAAATCTAAATGTAGCTGAATGAATCAAAAGGAAAGAATGTCCAGTTGGCCAGAACTTGCATCACTAATCCATTTTTTTTAAATTCATTCATTGAGTACTTACTAGACACTGCCTAAGCACAAGGACACATAGTTTCTCTCTTAAGAGTTTCTGGGTGTGGAAAATCTCTAACTGCTTTTCCTGTGGTCTCACACCACGCTACAATCAACACAGAAGACTTCTGTGACCAAATGTGGGAGATTTTTTGTCATCAACATGCAAGCAATCAACTCTGCAGCAGGCACCAGCTGAGTGTCCTCCAAATGAATTCTGACACTGTGTACCTGGAGATAGCGTCAGATCCCATAGGTTGAGGGCTCAGTCTCACAAGACATCTTCCCTTTCCCAGATACCAGTCACAAGATCAGGCCTCCAGAACTTCTGGCTGACTGGTTTCAAGTTGGGCTTCCATGACTCCCTCTTGGGGTTCGATTAATTTGCTAGAGTGCATCACAGAACTCAGGGAAACACCTACTTAGATTTACTGGTTTATAATAAAGGATATTACAAAAAGATACAAGTGAAGAGATGCAAAGGGTGAGGTATGGGGGAAGGGGCACAGAGCTGCCAAGCCCTCCCCGGAACACACCCTCTAGGAACCTCCATAGGTTCAGTTATCTTGTAATTTCTTCAAACCTCGTCCCCTTGGGCCTTTTATGGAGACTTCATGAAAGGATAGGCACCATTGACAACCACATAGAAATGTGTTTAGACAAAAAGGGTATGCTTTAGTACTCAAAGGCTGAGTGGGGAAACCCGGTAAGGCCCATCTGTTCAGATTCTTTTTGGCCTCTTTTTTTTTTCCTTTGAGGTGGGTCTCACTCTGACTGTGAGGCTGGAGTGCAGTGGCGTGATTTTGACCTCCTGGGCCCAAGCATGCTCCCACCTCAACCTCCCAAGTAGTTGAGGTTACAGGTGATTGCCACCACACTTGGGTAATTAATTTTTTTTTTTTCTGTAGAGACAGGATCTTCCTATGTTGCCCAGGATGGTCTTGAACTCCTGGGCTCAAACGATTGTCCCATCTTGGCCTCCAAAAGTGCTGAGATTACAGACATGGATCACTGTGCTGGGCCTCTTCTTGGCCTCTCCATGCAACATTCCTTCCTCCAGAATATGGGGCAGAACCCCTTCTGAAATGGGGGTCTTATGACCTACAATCACACAAGGTAGGTAAAGGCAGAGGAAGATTAGAGTCCTGCCTTGGGGAGAAAAAGTAGCAGGTAAAAAAATAGAAGATTAGAGAGAGAGAAATCCTGTTATTCTGAGGTCCGCTTATGAGGCCTAAAATGCACCAACATTATAACATTATAAAAAGGTCTATGGGAATTATGAGACAGGAACCGTGGATGAAACATATGTGTGTGTGTGTGTGTGTGTGTGTGTGTGTGTATAGATACATATATGTATGTAATGTAGATACGTATATAGATAAATATATACATATATAGATACATGTATATAAGTATATATATATATATATAGTATACATATGTGTATATACTATGTATGTGCACCTGGAGATAGTGTCAGATCCCACAGGTTGAGGGCTAAATGTATACTATATGTGTACATATATAATCTATATACTTATATACATGTATCTATATATGTATTATATACACGTATCTATATATGTATATACTAATAATGTATCTATAAATATATAATATATTTATATAAAATCATATAGTGTAATGTGATGATTATGTACATAATGCAATGGAAAGAGAGATAGGAGGCATTTTTAAATTAGGTAGTTGATAATAGCTAACTTTACTACATCCAAAGTACTTAAGTTCTAGGCACTATTCTAAGAGCTTTGCACACACATATTCTTTAAACCTTCTGAACAGTTCTATCAGGTAAGCACATTATTGTAATCATTTCACTAGTAAGGAAACTCGGGCATAAAGATTAAGTAACTTGTTCAGGGTTACACAGCTAGGAAGTGGCACAGCAGATATTTAACACTTCTGTTTGATATCAGGTCTGTCTGTGTTCTTAACTACAGTGTTCTTAACTACTGTATAGAGATGACCTCCAGAGAAGGTAATTCTTGATCTGAGGTTTGAAAACTAATAAACAGTAGTTAGCTGTATGAAGGATGTTCTCACACAGCTAGATGTACTCTAGAGGGTGGCAGGCAGCAGCATGGGTGAAGTTGCAGAAGCATCGAGTCTCTAGGATGTTAATATTTGGGTCTCTAGGCTGTCAATAGGGGAAGTGGGCTGGGGTAGATAAGGCTCAAAAGTAAGCAGATAGCCATATTGTAAAAGTCATAGTGCATTAAACAAGGAATTAAAAATTCCAGCCATAGAGCTATAGGGACCCAAAGAATTATTGTAAGTGTCTGTGTGTGCACGCATGTGTGTATGTCTGTGTGTGTGCACACATGTGTGGACAGGGGTGATGATATAACCAGATTTGTATGTGTGACAGCTGTGTGGAGGACAGACCAGTAGCATGACCTGTGAGAGACAATTGTAACATCAAGGTGAGGTGGTCAGAGCCTTACATTTGGGCTGTGGTCTTAGGAGTGGAGAAAAGAGGGATAGATCCAACCTGTACTGGTTTGTGAGAGCTGTTTGTTACATTTCAAGACTTTTTTGAGTTGGTTGTTAAAGTCATCAATTAAAAATTAAATTACATACATGTATAATTTAATTATGTTAAAAGCAAAGAAAATAGTAGAAACTCATCACTTCATAATTATTTTACTATTATCTACTCTTTTGAGGTTATTTACATCTATTATATCTGTTGGTGGAAATACTATATAATATGTGTTCCGCATGTCTCTTCCCGATTCTGTTCAGTGGCGTCATGTTGGTAGCTTAAAATTGATAGCAACAGGAGGCAGAGAAACTGTAGGCATACAGGGGCGGGTCGCTGGCAAAATCCCACCTTCAAGCCGAAAAGCCTGAAACCCACAGCCCAAAGTGAGAACTTCCATTCTCTCCCGATTGGTTATTTCTGAATACTGTCTTTTTACCAATTGAATATTGCCTTTTCCAAAACTACCTACGGCCTGCCCCGTCCCCATCCTGTGCCCATAAAGACCCCAGAACTCAGCCAGCAGAGGGAAGAAGCAGCCTGATGTCGAGAAGAAGCGCCTGGACATAGGAGAGAGGTGGCTTGACTTCAGAGGAGAGGGATCTTCCCTTCCCATTCCCTTTCCAGCTCACCTCTCCACTGAGAGCCGCTTTCGTCACTGAAAAAAAAAATTCTCCACATTCGCCATCCTTCAATTCATCTGTGTGACCTCATTCCTCTTGGGCACTGGACAAGAACTCGGACACACTACGTGCAGGTATCCAAAAAGGCGGTCGCACTGGCCCTTTGCCCTTGCTGGCGGAAGGCAGTTGCCCTACGTGATGAGGCAAAGGGCTCACTGAGCTGATAACACACTGCTGTCTGCGGACGGTGGAGCTAAGAGTATGGTTACACGCCCTCTGGGGCTTGGCGTGGCTGGTGCCCACACCTGGACGCTGGTGAGGGGCCCACATGGAGTTTGCTCCTGCTGGTGCCAAAGTGGCCAGTTCCTGCCTTCGCTCGCTCAGGTTCCTGCAGTCATTCGCTTGCGCACTCCCTCCTGCAAGGGATTGAGCAGGGCGGGCTGAGTAAACAAGGCACCCCTGCCGCGAGTTCCGTGAAGGGGTCAAGAAAATATCCTGCATCAAAATCAGTTGTGGTGGGAGGATCAGTCACACCATGAAAACCATCAAGTGTCACCCACCTCTCCCTCTCTCAGAGAATGGGTTGCTCATTTACCAAAACACAACTGGATAGTTCTAAGAAATAATTAAAAAAAGAACAGATAAAACTTAATGACGAATTAGATATTGTAGGAATATGAGAAGGAAAAGTCTTGAGTCACATTTCTCATATGAACAACTTAGTAAATGGTGGTATTAATTACCAAGGTGAAGGATTATAGGAGGAAGGTTTGGTTTTAGAAGACAGACGGTGGATTAGTTTTGGGCTTGTTGAATTTGAGTAGAGATATCTAGTAGATACTTGGGTAGATAGGTCTGGAGGTAAGCATGGAGTTTGGGGTTACAGATGTAGCTTGCATGCTGTAGCATGAGCAGTTATTCAACCAGTTGAGCAGAGAGCTGGAGCCAGAACCCTGGGGAGTGAAGATCATTAGGCACCATCAGAGGATGGGAAGAGCTAAAGATACAAACAGTGAGAGAAAGAAGAGTCACATGAGAAAAGGGAAGTGTTAAATGTCACAGAGAGTTCAAAGCAAACAAGGTCAGGAAATTATCCATTGCCTCTGGAAGTGCAGAGGTTATTGAGGATCTCAGGGAGAGCAGTTTTGTTGCTGTGGTGTCGGTGGATGCCAGCCTGCAGTGATTGGAGAATGAACAGGCAGTGATGAAGTGAGGGCAGTGAGTGTAGACCACTCTAAAAATGATTGGCTGTGCAAAGGAGAGTAACGTGGTAGCTTAAAGGGAATATGCAGTTACAGGAAATTTATATTTGTATTTGAATGTGATCATTCAGATTCCTTTCCTTTCCTTTCCTCTTTCTTTCTCTTTTTTTTTTTTTTTGAGACAGAGTCTCACTCTGTTTTCCAGGCTGGAGTGCAGTGGCGTGATCTAGGCTCACTGCAACCTCCACCTCCAGGGTTCAAGCAATTCTCGTGCCTCAGCCTCCTGAGTAGCTGGGATTATAGGCATGCGCCACCAAACCCAGCTAATTTTTTTGTATTTTTAGTAGAGATGGGGGTTTCACCATGTTGGTCAGGCTGGTCTCAAACTCCTGACCTCAGGTGATCCACCTGCCTCAGCCCCCTGGAAGTACTGGGATTACAGGCATGAGCCACCATGCCCGGCCCCAGATTTCCCTTCTGTGCTGAAGGGAAAAGACAGGTAAATAAGGAAAAATTGAAGATAAAGGGTAAGAGAGGAGATAATGGTAAACAATGATGACCCCCAGTAAACCACAACTTCTGGGCTTCATTTCCCTATGATGTGGGCCTTAACCTTGTGATTTGCTTTGACCAATGTGACATTAGCAAGCATGATGCCAGCAGAAACTTGGTAAACCTTTGCACATTGGAGTTTTTCCTCTTGGTGGAAGCTATCAGCCATGCTGTACAAAAGCTTGACCCAGACTATTGAATGATGAGAGACCATGTGGCTGGAACCTTGCAGGATAACAGACCCTCCTGGATGATTCAGCCCCAGATGTGTTCCTAGCTCACTGAAGCCAGATGAATTAACTCCAGACAAAATCAGCAGAAGAATCATGCAGTGGAGCCCAATCCAGATTGGAGAATTATGAGCAAATACAGGGATGTGATTTTAAGCCATTTAATGTGAGAGCATACTGTTTTACAGCAACCGAAAACCAAAATAAGGCAAAACAGACCAGTTGCCAAAACCATTAGCAAGACAATATTTCATAACAATTAAAGGCATAAGTTCTGAAACAGGATGTCATAGGCTGTAATACTTAATTTGCGTAAATAAGCAAATTGTGTAGCTTTTGGGGGCTTCAGCTCATTGTCTATAAAATAGTATGAAGATTAAGTGAGACAATACCATCTTGGTAAATCCTGGATACATATTTACTGGTCTACTATTAAAGCACATGTGAAAGGTTTAACTCCAAAGAGAAGGAGGAACTCTTTATTCTTTAACACAAAAGGGAGGAAAGTTTAACTGTAAGGATGTCTTGAGGCAGGGTTCCAAGGAATATTAACTTATTAAGATGGATTTAGTTATACATTCCTTGTATTTATTTAGCATTTCACAGTTTATAAAGTGTTTTCTTATATACTGTCTCATTTGATTCAATGAAGAAAGGAGGGACAGAATTTTTAAATGTAAAGAAACAGAAATTTGAAGAGTCTAAATTATTTGGCCAAATGTACAAGGCTTAAGAGGTGGGCAAGAATTAGAAACGCTGAGCTTTGGACTCAGTATCCAATATTCTCCCCAAACAGACTAGTGAACAGGCTACAGACTAGAAGCCAGAAGTTCTGGCTTTGGGCCCTGGCTTTGCCAAGTACTAAATACTACCTTGAACAAATTACTTTCTCTCTCCAAACTTCATATATAGGATGGGAATACCAGTTCCTTCCGATGTCAAAGGTAGCTCCTTGCAAGGTGAGGTGAGGAAGCTCTTTGCAAACTCTGAAGTACCTTACACATGCAAATGATTATTATTTTCATTGTTCTGCCTGCTGCCTGTCATCAGTAATATCATTAGAGTCATTTATATCTTGTATTAACTACATATGTCTTGTATTAAGTGTGATATAAGGGAAAAGAACCTTAGTGTTTCTCCTCCCCTTTTCCGTATCTTCCTCCCCTAGGGGATTTCAAGCTTCCCAGGAGCTAGTTCCAGAACATATTTACTTTTAGTTCACTCATTAAACACAAACTCACCTATCCTATATTCTATACTTTTAAATCTTTGTTTTTTGCATGCATCTAAACCATACCGAGGAAATAGGAATATTCCTGAATTAGGGCTGGGCATTGTGGCTCATGCCTGTAATCCCACCACTTTGGGAGGCTGAGGCAGGCAGATCACTTGAGGTCAGGAGTTCGAGACCAGCCTGTCCAACATGGTGAAACCCCGTCTCTACTGAAAACACAAAAACTAGCTGGGCGTGGTGGCATGAGCCTGTAATCCCAGCTACTTGGGAGGCTGAGGCAGGAGAATTTCTTGAACCCAGGAGGTGGAGGTTGCAGTGAGCCAAGATTGAGCCACTGCACTCCAGCAATAGAGTGAGACTCCATCTCAAAAAAAAGAAAAAAGATTATTCCTGAATTAATGTATTTCTATTCTCAGGTAAGAGGTATGTTCACATTGTTCTTAACCCAAAAAGAGCTATCGAATGCTGAGAATCCTGGCGTAGCTGTATGGAAGATATTTTAAGGCATAGAACAAGTCTAGGGATTGTCATATAACCTCAGATGGCCACTTGTGCAGGCTTTTTGAGAGCCAACATTTACTGAATGGTCCCTGATTTTTACTGAGTCCAAAGATGGAACTATTTTTTAAGAGTTTTTTTCCATCCTGTAATTGAAAACAAAATTTAAACGCAGAGTATGGTCATGTCATTTAGAATGATCCAAGCAGGAAACCCCTTCAAGTTTCAATTATAAAGAAGATGCCTGTGTTTTATTTTTGAAGGACCTTGTGGGACAATCCAGTATCTAGACTTTAAAACGCCTTGTGTTCTTCCATTGTGTTCCACGTTGTCCTTTAGACTAGTCACTGGGCATTTTTGTCTCACTGAGCTAATTGTATTTGCCACATATTGATCAAAAATAATTTCATGGCCTTTAGCTTCTTATTTTAAGAACTGAGCAAATGTGCTGATTGTATAAATAAGACAGAATGGAGAACTTTCCTGGGAAATGAGAGATATTTTGAAAACAACTGTCATACTGAAGACTCAGGGAGGCTTAATTAGCTGATGCTTGCAAAGTACTTTGAAAAATCAAAACCATGATGTCCTTGCTAAGTATGATGAATACCATTTATTCTTGGATGAGTAAAAAGTCATTTATTTTGAGACATTCGAGTTTGGTGTGCACTGACTACAAAATACAGATTATTTTTGCAGAAATAGAAAATAAAACTCCAGATGAAAAATGCAAAAATGAGACAAATTTTGGAATTCACAGAATTATTATTCTCAAAGACTTAAATATGCAGTATTGATGTGAAACTAAATCAATATTATTTTGCTCAAATGCGTGAGCTTATTCAAAGGCAGCTGCATAGTTTAAAGGACAGTTGGTACGGAACTGGAAGATCTAAGTTCCAGACTTGAACTGCCTTTTACCAGCTAAGAGACTTTGATCAAGTCACTGGTTTCTTCATCTACAAAACAGGAAAGGTAATATTACATTTTCTTATCTATCTTCTGGAGTTGTTTTGAGATTCAAATGTGATCCTATAGTTATTTGGTAATTTCACCAACTGTAAAAATGAAATGAAAGATGTTATCATATCTTTGAAACATGCATAAGGCAGAAAATGGCTTAATAACCCCAATAATGAATAATTCAGACACTTTAATTCATCCCTTTACTAGAGTCCTTAGGTTATTTCTTTCTTTTCTTCATCCCACTGTTTCTTTTTATGGATTTAGAGAGGTTAAAGATGAGGGATGATAGGTAACTGGAAGGAGAGCCCTTTCCTTCTGTTAGGAACAGGGTGTCTCATTACCAAACTTTCAGGAGAACCTCAGCTGGAATTTTAAAAGATGATAGCTAGACAGCATTTTATAGAGAACATCCAGCATTTGAATTTCAAATGCCTAGAGTTTTTCTATTGGCTGACCCATGTACCATTAAAACAAATCTCCAGAGGAATCATTTGTCATGGCAGAAATAGGTCTCCCATTAAGAGCCAAACACCCACAAATGTCAACTCTATTCTAACTCACATGAGTAACTGCCTTGAGACAATTTCTTACATTTCTTATTTAATAGGTATAAATATTATGGTAGAGATTGCTATAAATTCTTTGCTATTTCTCCTGTTGAGAGGTGGAGTCTAATTCTCCTTCCCTTGAATCTGGACTGGGTTTAGTGACTTACTTGGCCAATTGATTGAGATAGAAATGATGTTCTGGGACTTCTGAGGCTAGGTCATAAGAAACCTTGGAACTTTTACCTAATCTCCTGGAAAACTCATTTTGGGAGCCTTGAGCCATTTTCTGAGTCTGTCATGTCACAGAAGACACTTCAACAGTTCTACCAATCCCAGCTTTGCATCTGTCCTTGCAAATGCGCAGGACACGTGAGTGGAGAGATCCTGTGCCACTCCAGATCAGCTCATCTCCTAGCTGAGTACCTCTGAGAGGCCTGCCCAAATTTCTGACCCACCAGATCTCGAGACATTATGAAACAGTTGCTTTGAGTCACTGAGTTTGTAAGAAGCCATATATAATTGGCTGTAAACATTAAATATTTTTGTGTGGAATAGCACTCAAATGTACTCAGTAGTAGAATCACTTATGGTCATCAAAGTATTATTTTATTGAAAAAGTACATTTTTGTCTTAGACCATTTAATAGTAGCTCATTCAATGGCATATACATTCCTGAGATTTTACTATATGCCAGGTTCTATGCTAAGCACTTCACCTGTGTACCATCCATGCACTCCCATCTGTGACCCTCACCTCCATTTCACAGAACTACCATTCAGTGAGTGCTTCCTGACCATCCCTCTTTGCCACTGTGCCTGGTCAGCAGTGAGGAGCATGGAAGCCAAAGGGCACCCGGAGGCACAGCTTTTCAGACACATTCTTAAAGGTCTGTTTCTTTCTTGCTCAGGCGAAACTAGTCCATTCCTCCTTTTCTATAATGTGTAATTGAGGGATTACTTTAATTATATTTAGAGGATCCCCCAGGCTTATCTTACCCAAGCTTGTGCAATAGCCACCTTTCACCATCTCTTAATCATGCCTTTCAGAGTTTCTCGTCTTATCATACCACTCACTAATCTCACTGTGTCTCATTCCAGAGCTCCAGATGGGATGGATCCATCCAGGGAGACAGTTGCCTGTTCTTTTTCTCAGACATTTGCCAATCCTTCAGAAAGGGTCCACCACACCCTGTCCTGTGTTATAGTGGGAGACATTATTTTGGCCATATTTATTTTTCTTTGCTCAAGTCCTACTATGGTATCTGTGCTACTATTTTCTCTTTCTCAGAGAAAGAGAACACAGGATTTTCTCATATTTACATTTATTTATTTTTCTGAACTTTTTGTTGTATTTGGGGTATAGACATTTGAATATGGCCAGGATAGACGTGCCATAAAACTAGGAAGCTTGAGTTTCAAGGCCCCTCACTTGTGCAGCCTCCATACAAAGTTCTAGACTTGATTTTGACTTTTATATTTTTAAAAAAGAAGGTTCCAAACATATGTATAAACTCTTGGCTTCACAAACCCTGAATCTGCTCTTAGGATGGCTCACCTAAAGTCCTGGCGTTTGTGACGTTGCAGTAACTTAATAATATCTGAATGATTGGCTTCATGTTGTTAATAGTAAGACAATACACCTTTTAAAGCCTAGCCCCTGTAATTATCAGATAGATTAATCCTCTGCTTTTTCTGCCTTTAACTCTTCTCCCTACCCCTTAATTTATTTGTTTCTCTACTACCCCTGTAATTTCTTTCCCCTGAATGCCTAGTTCTTGGCTTTATCCTCTGACTGCTCTTATTTGAATTTCCCTTATTAGTTAAACTCTACCAGTATAATATAAAACTCCTTTGGATTCAGTGGAAATTGCCTCTCTTTTGCTAACAGAGTAAGTCAGTTGTTAAATTCTGCTAGTTGGGAGAGGAATTTCAAGTGCTTTCAGCTCTGTGAATGGACCAAGAATTATTTATTGGGGGGTAGTTCTCTTCTAGGATTAAGAAAAACAACAAATAATACCAAAGAACAGTTCCAAGTAGCCTCATTCTCATGGTGTTGGGACCTTCTGGGGAATAATGGTGTACTTTGATGAGCATTTAGTTCTTGTGTGAACCGCTAATGCAAGCATTCAGTCCCAGCAGAAGTCCCTTTAGGATTCAGATCGTGGTCCAAGCTTCTCATGTACCTTGGTGAGGGCCAACACATTTAATATGGGAAACAATTGCTTGCTTACCTCAGTGGTGCAAAGTTACTTATTATCTACCTTTTCTGAAAGAAGCAGATGTAATAAACCCTAATGGATTTTAAGGCTAGAGTTTGAAAAGTTCTTTGAAAATAGGGTGAAAACCTGGAAGCTTATTTATGCCTTCAGAGAGAAAATGTTAAGAAGATGCCTTCAAGCAAGGAAAAGACACAGCTTGCCCACAGCTGGTCCACAGCTGTTAATTCTTCTCCTCCCACCATGGGAAAAGACTTTTCCCCTCAAGCCAGGCTTAATGGCTCGTGCCTGTAGTCCCAGCTACTGAGGAGGCTGAGGCAGGAGGATTGCTTGAGCCCGGGAGTTTGAGGCTGCAGTTATCTCAGGCTATCATAACCTTGAATGATCCAATCCAGAGTGTTTTTCAAAGTATAATAAAACATTTGCTTTTGAAATCAATGGCTTCATTTTCAGACTGTAAGAAGACATCAGCTGTTTTTATCAGTGAGATGATGCTGATACTTCTCTTCCCCGCCTATGCCTATCCAAAAAGCTAATGAGTACAAGATCAATACGAGTACCAAGGTTTCAACCAAGCATTTTTCTATTTTATAACAACATCTTCCACTATTTTCTTCTCCCCATATTTTAGGAAATTATTGAAAAGTTTTTCTAGTAAGACATTAACCTGCTTCTCATTATAAAGTCCTTAAAACCCATTAGCTGGAGTTGGGCAACAGGGAAGAAAAAGAGAGAAAAAGAAGACACTTAGGGTTAAGAATTTGTGCTTTGTTTCTTCTGAATTCTAATAGAATACTCCCTTGATTTAGAGAGAATTAGCTCAAAATTGTTTGGTCCCCAGTAAAAGGTTGGGAGGATCCACTGAACTAATGGCTTGAAAGTTAAAAATGATTTCAATGAGCTAAGACAGCATGAACATCTGACCAAACACGTCATGAAACCATTTACATGTTTTATTTACCTATCATAAAGGTCAATTCTTCTGATTTTTGTATATCTCAGGGTACCTTCCTATCAAGTCCCTATCTTTTTTTTTTTTTCTGAGATGGAGTCTTGCTCTGTTGCCCAGGCTGGAGTACAGTGGCTGATCTCTACTCACTGCAACCTCCGCCTCCCGGGTTCAAGCAATTCTTCTGCCTCAACCTCCTGAGTAGCTGAGACTACAGGTGCACACAACCACGCCCGGCTAATTTTTATATTTTTTAGTAGAGACGGGTTTTCACCATGTTGGTCAGGCTGGTCTTGAACTCCTGACCTCAAGTGATCCACCTGACTCAGCCTCCCAAAGTGCTGGGATTACAGGCATGAGCCATTGTGTCCGGCCTGGGTCCCTATCATATTATATAGGCAATTAGATAACTCAAGTTGAATCAAATAATGTAAAAATGCTTTGCTTTCAGAGCTATTTAGGGCCACTTTGAATGGTGGGTTCATTAACTCTGTAGCCATAGCACTTTTATTTGAACCTAGTGTAAAGTTTGTCCTAAGTTTTGAAAAAGATAACCATTTACCACTCCCCACTCCACTAATCTTCAACTAAGAACCTATTAGTTGACTGCATGATTCTTCTGAAAATTTGCAAATTTTTTTCCCTATAAGCTGCAAATACATATTTTACACACATTCAGTGGAGTACAGTGATTATACAGAAGTGACAGAGATTTGAATAGAATGTGGTTAGTAATTTTATTTTTAAATATCTCAGCAATTATAGACTTGTGTCAAGTACTCATAAAATATCTATTTTCATAAATTACTGTTTTGAGAACTGTTTCCGTTTATCTCAACCAGGTTTTAGGAATTTAGGATGACCCCTCTCCAAGCAGTACTACAGTCTCACTAACCTCAAGCAAACAGGTTGGCTGAAAGGGTGACACACAGCATTGGATATCACAAAGGTAGCAGAAACAGGCCAGGCACGGTGGCTCACACCTGTAATCCCAGCACTTTGGGAGGCCGAGGTGGGTGGATCACTTGAGGCCAGAAGTTCAAGACCAGCCCAGCCAACATGGTGAAACCTCATCTCTACTAAAAATACAAAAACTAGCCAGGCGTGGTGACAGGTGCCTGTAGTCCCAGCTACTCAGGAGGCTGAGGCAGGAGAATCACTTGAGCTGGGTAGGCGGAGGTTGCAGTGAGCCGAGATTGCACCACTGCACACTGTACTCTAGCCTGGGTGACAGAGCCAGACACTGTCTCAAAAAAAAAAAAAAAAAAAAGTTGTTGGGAACAGATTATGGGAGGATATTGGCCTAAATAATTCACTAATTTATTTATCATTTAACATGGCATTCCAAGTTCAATAAGAAAAGTCATCTTGCCGGAAAAAAAAGTGTGTGGGAGGGAGCAAGTGTTGGCTCAAAATTTGCTTTGCCTGACTAATGGATCCTTGAGGAAACTCCCCAAACTCCTGGAATCAGATATGAAAACGTTTTTCCTTTTTGTGGGAGTAGGGGGTAGAAGATTATGACTTTTGTTCCTAAGCAAGGCAAGCCAAGGTCATTGCAACCTTCCTGCATAATTGTCAAAGTGAGAAGGCAGAGCACAAGCATATCCCCTGCCTGAAGCCCTTTTGTTTAGTTTCCTTTTGTATCAAAAAGATTGGCTTTCACCATGGGAGAGGTTGTAATTGGATTTCACCATGAAAGGAAGTTGTAATTGGATTTCTCAGCACTCTACAAGCTCTGTCCCTGGAAAAGCAAGGAAAAGGGGCCTGAATATCCTTTCTGCTAGCTGGAAACAGCCCAGCCAAGCCATCAGAGATTGACCTGAAAGGTATGGGCAGAATGGGCCATGTGTGTGTCAGCTACCCCCATCTCTGATGAAAAGCTATGTGTGTAATAGCTAAATATCGCTCCTGAAATTTGTATCTCCTAGAAAAGAGGAGGGTGTCTAAAGTTTGGCATACACTAAAACACAAAAACATCATTCTCCGTCTAGATTTATTAGGGAACCTACACAAACGACCAGAATATGTTTTTATTTTCGGTACTATGGTTTATTTTGCATTCTTTTTCTGTAATTGGTTCCACTTCAGTTTCTATGATATTTCCTAGAAACTTAAATTACAGTAAGATTAGGTCGAAGTAGATATTTGTATTTGATTTATTTTCAGTTCCTATAGTTTTTTAGAACATTAATTTACATTTAAATTTTAAAAGATAAATTTTATTTTTGAAGTTCTGTATATTGCCATGCCACTTAAATCAACTTAGCACACCTGCTCCCCTGGGCACTTCTTGCCTTGCTGTACTTCTTCTTTCTATCTTCCTTCTCTTTCCTTTTCTCTTAAGCATTAATAAGCTGTCTGAACACTGAACCAGACTGTAAACGCAGTCATCCATACCTCTGAAAGGAGGAACAGGATTCCTCTTTCATATTGGCCACATCAGTGACTCCCTGGAAATTTTAGTGCTGGTAGTTATTGCTTCAAGTCTTTCTAATTGAATTTTCCTTGTGTTGCCTAGCATTCCCCTGGTTTCTGAACCCTCCAGTCTGAACCCTCCAGTGGTTAGCTCCTTCTGTGGCAGCCTCAGCAAAATTTACAAGTCCTCTTCCTTCCCTTCTGGGCCTAGGGAACTTGTTTCAATATTTTTGGGTTTCAAGGCAGATGATGACAACTTGATCTGTTTATCACTTTGTCTAAAGTTTAATGAACTAAGAAAGACATACCATGTGTACTAGAAAAAGGAGAGGTTTGTCTTGTTACTTTCTTTTTCTTATTACTCTTGGCCTATCATTTCCTGGAGTATGTACATCCATGCATCCAAATAAGGCCAGGTATCTTCTGTTGAATTTGTTTATATCAGAGGAAGCCTGTAGACTGCTATTTTTAGCAATTATTACAACTATGGAAAAATTTCCTTTCTGGGAAATGTAGTAAACAAAACAATTATTATAGGTACTTTATAAACAGACTCAGAACGTTCCTGTTCACCTTGTTTTTACATAATAGTCAAAGGCCTTGTTATCAGAGAGCAAATCTCTTAGTCATATTTTGGCTAACATATACGTGCTGTTACCTGATCCAGTGTTAACACTGATGCTTTAGAGCTTTTAAAGTATTAATGAGTCTCTGGGGAGAGCTCTATGGTTTGGCCCTAAAGTCATCTGAAGGGTGAAAAAGACGTTCTTCTATTTTGAGTTCTCTGCTGAGTCACCATCTGACATCAAGGTGTCCCAGCCCTGTGAGTGTATATGATATACTCAGAGTCAATGACTTAAGACTTTTCTGGGCATCTGACCTTCAACTGCCCATCATCCTTCCTAATTGAACCTACCACCATAAGAGTCTGAGCTAGGGATAGACATGGTCATGCCTGTTGGGGCTTTGAGACTAACCAGAAATCCATCCAGACGTTAAAAGTATACATTAAACCTGAATCAAGCAAAGGGCACATACATTTAGTGCTCAGGGAAGGGAGTATTATGGAGATTTACATCTTCCACTGCTCTGCCCTTGCTCTCGGGAGCTGGCTGCCTCTCAGTGCCTCAAATAGGCCACGATCCCTCTTGCTCCAGGGTCTTTGCACAAGTGTTCACGCTGTCAGAATTCTCTCTCCAGCACCCGCTCCTCCCAGCCACCACCACCAAACACACACACACACACACACACACACACACACACACACACACGCACACACACAGAGTTAACCTCTATTCAGACTTCAGATCAAGGAAAGCCATTATTGATCCTGAGTGGAGGTCAGGATCCTTATATACTCTCTTGGAACAAAGGTGTTTTGCCTTCATAACACTTATTTCAGTGTATCATTATATATGGCATGTGTTCAAATAAAATGTGTTTTTTCTCACGCCACCAAATCCTGCCGTAAAAAAGAGGGATTTGACTTATATTCAAGTGCTTCCAAAGTTTCTTCATTTTGAGCAGCAAAGTACTATTCAAAAAAACAATTAGAAATCATCTCAAGAGCTGGGCACAGTGGCTCATGCCTGTAATCCCAGCACTCTGGGAGGCCGAGGTGGGTGATCACCTGAGGTCAGGAGTTCAAGACCAGCCTAGCCAACATGGCAAAACCCTGTCTCTACTAAAAGTACAAAAAATTAGCCAGGCGTGGTGGTGCACACCTGTAATCCTAGCCACTCAGGAGGCTGAGGCAGAAGAATTGCTCCAGCCCAGGAGGTAGAGGTTGCAGGGACCCAAGGTCACACCACTGCACTCCAGCCTGGGTGACAGAATGAGACTCTGTCTCAAAAAAAAAAAAAATCTCAAGCAATGCTTATTTTTATTCTTAGGAAGGTCACCTTGACAAAATGGATGAAAAAATAGATAAAGATATTTAAAGCAGGTTTAGTCATTATTCCTGAGGTATGACTTCATTATTGCAAGTTGGAATCACATAGTTTTAGAAAGCCACACTTACAGTTTCAAGTGGTTTTTAAATACGCCCTTTAAAAAGCACTGGAAAAACAATCTAGTCAGTAATGAAAGTGTGGAGAACATGACCACGAGTGAGGACTAATGCCTGGGGATTAAATTTGCAGCATCAGCAGATGTTTAGCAACTTGCAGAAGGATTGATGATGTGCTCTGTATTAGATAATTACAGCGTGGATCCAGTGAACATACACATTGGTGTTAAAGATGCGTATGAAGAGTTTTAACAAAATTGTTTCATGAAATGTGAGAAAGGAAAAAGTCATGTTAATAAGTATAAAATATTTAAATTAAAGTAACATATTAAATATGTATGTGAACCATAGATTAAATATCCCAAGTGTACATTACAATATATTACCCATTTGTACATGCTGTTTGGCCAAACACTTTGGTTGAGGATGTTCTCACTAGAAAGATGAAGATGGCATTGTATTTGGGGGCACCTTATGTTTGGTCCTATGCAGTTTTCATTATTGTGATGGTTTGATTAATGACCATTTTCATAACTACATAGTAAGCACCACAAGAGCTCAGCCCCTCTCTAGTTTTGCTCCTTGCTGCATTTCTGGAATTTTGCATGGGATAGAACACTGAATACATTAGTTGTTTGAGATGTAAGATAAAAATGCTAACTTATTTTCATAATTGCATGACCTAGAAAACACTGGAGGAACTGAAACAGAAACGTAATAAAAAGTTAATGAAAGATAAGATGTTTTAATACTTTTTACCCTGGTGTTAATCAAGATGAGATGAGTCTTTATAAATGTAAAAAGTCACAATTCTTTTTTTTCCCCCTGTAGAAATCAAATGGTTCACATTTATGCAATGATAATTCTGAGGCCTCTATTCATTATATTTGACTCACTGGGAATTCTAAGTTCAAAAAGGCCATTCATGTCAGAGTTAGATCAAACTGAAACTTACCCAATAGTCCCACAGACAGATCTTTTTGAAAAACATAGAAGTTGACCCTCCTGGTCTTAAAGTGTGAAACTTATATTTGTTTTATCTAAGTTCCTTCCTCAGGACAGGACCTTCAGGCTTCTAAAAAAGTATAAAAGAATGGAAACTCACCAGATCACTGCAGCAGATGCCTGACCGCTTATTCACCATGATTGTTTCCTTACCCCTACCTAGTTCTTATTTTCTTACACATTGTTACATTTTTCCCTTGCTATGTAAACCCCTAGTTTAAGTCAGTTAGTGAGATGGATTTGAGACTGTGCTCCCATCTCCTCAGCTGCAGCACCTGATTAAAGCCTTCTTCATTGGCAATACTTGTTGTCTCAGTGATTGGCTTTCTACGAAGTGAGCAGCAGGACCTAGACTGGAACCTTGCTGTTTCAATAACAAAACCATGAAAAAGAATTGTAATAACTACTACTTATTGAGCATGTACATTCATTATTTTAGTTAATCATACAATGATCATCTTGGCATGGTGGCTCACACCTGTAATCCCAGCACCTTGGGAGCCTGAGGCAAGCAGATCACTTGAGGCCTGGAGTTTGAGACCAGCCTGGCCAACATGACAAAACCCCATCTCTACTAAAACAACAAAAATCAGCCAGGCATGGTAGTACATGCCTGTAGTCCCAGCTACTCAGGAGGCTGAGGCACAAGAATCACTTGAACTCAGGTGGTGGAGGTTGCAGTGAGCTGAGGTCATGTCACTGCACTCTAGCCTGGGCAATAGAGCAAGACTCTGTCTCAAAAAAAAAAAAAATACAATGATCTTATGAATTAGCTGTTATCCACATTTCACAAGTGGGGGAAACTGAGGCTCCTGAGCTTAGCAGCCAACCTTTACCATGGGTTAGATACTGTAATAAATGCCTTACATGCTCAATCTCATTCAATTCCCATGACAATTTTATGACTGTTATTATATCTATTTCACAGATGAGAAGACAGAGGCACAGAATGGATTAGATTAAAACAACTAGAAGGTATGAGTGCCAGGATTCAAGTCCAGGCAGTCTGCCCCAGAATTCCCCTCTATAACCACTACACCATAGCACATCGTGAAGATGGGAGGAAGCAGTGGGAACTTGAAAAATGGATTTATTGCAGGGTTTGCTGCAGTATGTGTATCATGTGAGGCCATTTCTATTTCTCTTTCTTTGCCTTCCCAGTTGTTTTTCCCCTGTATGCCACAGTAAACTAGCCACTGTTTTAGCAGCTCTCTTGTTGATTTTTAAAATACCTATTCACTAAATCTTTAAAGGAAACATTTAGCTACTGCAATGGGTGTACATAAGTTGGTTGTGTAATAGGAAGGAAACAAGCCAGGACTGGAGACTTCATTTCTAAAGAAGGATTTTAAAGCAGACTAAGAGTTATTTCCCAGAGCAGGTCATGAAGCAGGAGTCTCTCTACACCCTTTCATTGCTATGACGACAGCCTGCTCCTGCTACATGCAGCCAGAAAAAGCAGCTTACATTTCAATGCTAGGAACATAGGGGAGAGGTTTACAAAAACACCAAACAAAGACAAAAAAACAAAAAAAAGACTCTTTCACTTGAATTTCAGTTAGAGAGGAAAAAATATCCCCTGGAGCAAGTCAAAAGCCCTATTCTTGCCTTTAGAAGAGATAAGAAAGAAGAAATGTTGGGGGCTTTCCCTCTTGTCCAAGTGGGCCAATAAAACAGAATTGACAGCAAAGCAGCATTTCTTCTCACTCTGTGTAATGGCAAGCTGGCATAGAACACTTTCTTTGGTTTCCTTTGACTTGGCCATTAAGAAGCTACTAACTGATGCAGCAGTGAAGTCTCATAGTAATAAATACCTCGTGTTGAGGCCCCCCACCAGGGGAAAATAGTAGTGTCCGATTTACTTTTACATTTCTTTGGATAAAAAAGGCAATTCAAAGAATATTTCCTTCTTGATCTCCATTGTTACTACCAGAGAAATCATTGCAAGTATGTAACAGAGGCCTCACTGATATACGAGATTCCTTATGAGCAACCAGTCAACTTTCCTATGTGTTTACTTCTCTGCCAGGTGCTATACTTGGCATTTAATAAACATCACATTTCATTCCTACAACGACCTCATTTGTGTGTATTATTATCCCCATTTTGCTAAACAGATGAGTAAACTGAGTCATGCAGGTGGGAAGTAACTGCCAAAGCTTACACTGATTGTAAGAAGCAGAGTCAGGATTCTAGCCCAGATGCATTGGACTCTGAAGCCCATGCTCTGTCCACTCTGCTGTGCTGCCTCAGAGGCATACACCTGGCATTCATATTTTATTATAGAGCAAAACGTATAAGTACAAGGAAGAAACCCTGAGAAAATATCTAGAGTCAGTTCCCGTTCTACGGAGTTTCAATAGGGACATATAGTTAGTCCAGTACTTTCATATTATCTACGATTGATTGATTGCTTTAATGTACCAAACATGGCTCTTTTCTTCACTTAATTCTTACAACAAATCTCTGAGGTAGCTACTGATTTTATAATCCCATTTCCATGAATGAAGAGACTGAGGCACAAAGAGATGAAGTTGTTTGCCCAAAGTCACAGAGCTATTTTGTGGTAAAGCTTGGATATAAACCACGGTCTTATATAAACAGGGTCCATATGGTCAGATATAAACCACAGGTCATGGCCTTATTCACTTTATTAGATTGCCTCCCCACCTTTGGAACAATCATCAAGACCATGCACTCTGTTTTTCAAAGTTCTATCCATCTTTTGATGACTAAGACAAAAGCCAGGCTAGCCCTAGGTAATGCTATCATCGCTAACTCAGCCTTTGGCAGAAGATGCCCTGTGAGCCCCGTAAGAAACAGACCCTGGCCTGGTTGGACATCTCTCAGGAAGCCAGGCCTACTGGGAAGTTCTACTGGATTTATTTATGGGGGTCTCCTTCTCCACTGAAGATCATTCTAGAGGGATAAGTGAGGACTATGTGCACTTCAGATCTTCTAACAAGTTGTTTATGCCCTTCTCGGTAGAAAAATGTTCCCAACCAGTTCTGGATATGGTGCTAAACTTAAGTAAAATAGCAGTGTTTAAGTCAACTGAGTAAAAAGAACAGTCAAGAGGAAATGAAATAAATAATGTTTTCAAGTTGTCCAGATGCATCACTATTCATTTTATTTCTGTCATCACTATTATTTTTACTTAGTTGATATGTGAATCTGTGCCATGAGGAGCTACTGGGGATTAAATCTCAAAAGACCTAGGAAGGAAATGCCAGCACTCTAATTGCTCAATGGCTGTGTGAAAAATTCTCTGAAAGAAAAAGGCAAGGTTCATAAATAACATGTGAATATTCTTCTCCAAAATGTGGAAAGTGGCACTAGTTGATTGGACGATAAGTAGATGAAATAAACTGCTCTGCTTTGCTAGATCTTATTAAATGAACAGAAATATTAACTTAAATCTTTCCAAAGAGGGTGTTTTGAATAAAAAAAAAATCATAGTTAACAATAGTCACAACCATCAGGTTTGACTGAGTAAGCTGTGAACTGAAAAAAGCTGGTGTCTACGAGAAAGGGGAGAATAAAAAAAAAAAAGATTTCTGCTGACTTGGACTGAGTGAACATTTCTATTCAATGTGCTTAGGCCCTGGGCCAGAGGAGAGCTCAGATACAATGCCAAGGTGACATATTTAACCTCTTTGCAGATTAAAGGCAGTGCAAAAGAGATACTCTTTCTGCAGTACCTCTTGGTGTACTGTTTCAACAGTATTGATCTGCAGTTAAAAGCATGTTTTTTTTTCTTTTCTTTTCCTTTCTTTTCTTTTTTTCTCTTGCAGAGTGACCTTTAATACCTGGGAAGGATGAATAAGCACAACCTACATTATTGCTTTATTTTAGAAAAGAGAGCCAGAAATGGTAGTACATTATAATATGAGTTACCATAATCTCTTTAGCTCTTTAATTCTCTTCTCCCATTTTTGCTTTTGTAAATAAGACATTATCAAGAATTAGAGAAATTTTAGGTCTATGTGTGAGCATCTTAACAAATGATAGTAGGAGGCAAAAAATAATTAGTTATAAAGCTGTAAAAGGGAACCAAGAAAGGGAAAATAATCGCAATAACTTAAAAATAATCAAACAAGAATATAGTATAAAAGGAGAAATTTTCCTACCTTTTGGAAAAGCAAAAAGTTCCGTTTCTACATTGCTGTTAGGCTCAGGAGATTGAATAACTTTAGATAATTTAAACATGGAAAACATACAAATTATTTGATTTGAAATTTTTTTTAAAAACTACCTTCTTTATAGTTTATTTCATATATGTAATAAAGTACTTCTACAAAACACATTTCAGGATTCAGGCTTCACTAAGATCTGAATGCTACTGAGGCGATCAACAGTTCCACATTTCTATTCTTGGTCTTCACTAAAATCACCATCATTTATTAGTACTTGCTATTTAATTTCGCAGGAAACAAGAAAACATGAATACAAATGGTAAAATTCTCTATGAAGTATCTTTTCTGTAAATCACACAAAACTTTTTTTGGTAAATAAATGGCTTTGTATTATTTAGGCAAAAATATTTGACAGCTTTATCAGATCACGCAAATCAGCTTAACAAATGCAATTAGATAATGCCGTAAATTTATTACAACTTACCTTTAAGTAAGGGGCTGGACCCAGAGCCACTGCAGAAAAATTGAAGTTGAATCCCCTCTGCACACAGACAGGGAATAAAAGTTTGACAAACACCCAAGAAAAACTCTTTAAATCCCTTTCCTCGTTAGCTCTGCTTCTTTGCCCAGAGGCATATTCAAGTCTACTGGAGTTGAAATTCTGCTGCTCTGTCAACTAGTGGGGGTCTGAAGTGACAGACGAGAATTTGGAGGTTGGCACCAGAGAGTATTTCAGACTGTCATCGTTTTTGTTGCAGATTCCTGGATTTCCCTAGCAGGCTGGCCTCTCATGCGAGGGCTTTACAGGCAGTGCTTGCAAACCAAAAGGGAAAGAGCTAATTCTGGTGGCGTGGATGGGGTTAACAGTCTTCCCCTCAAGCTCTTGTTCTCAGAGCCTCATAACTTGGCCAGAATATAAGCACTTGGCTCTTTATGCATTTTTTTTCTTTTTCAAACAACTCTGAAAGGTTTTATAAGCAGCATCCCTTTTTTGGAGATTTTTATTTTAAGACCTTGAAAAGAAACTCCATGCTGTTGTTTCTTTCTAAAGGAAATTGGGGAGTAGGGATTAAAGGAGGGAAGAAGAGAAATGGCAGCAGATGCATTTTTACGTTGCTCAATTGGAAATTGTTCTAGCAAATACAGTCTGAATTTTAATAGAAGGGTACTTCAGATACCTTAACCTTCTTTGAATGAGATTTGGAAATGGACATATATAAAAATGATTGCTCCTTATATTATAGATCACTTGTATGCTGATTCAGAAATGTTGCAGTTCTCCCCTCAACACAGCTCTCCACTGTAACTCCATGGTTATAATGGTTGGTATCTAAGAAGGAGGTTTCCCATAAAAAGAATGGAGGTGTGCACTTATTTTTGGCCCGGGATTCTGGTTGTTTGTATGTGTCTAATCTCTTCTACTGCTACTTCTACATTTATCACACATTTATTATGTGTCAGACACTGTGCTAACAGCTTTTTATGCGTTATTATCAGTTGATCCTCACTACGCATGGTAAGTTTTACTGTGTTCCCATTTGAGGGGTAGTGTCATACAGTGGTTGGATTGGCAGAATTTGAGGCCAGCCAGCTTGGATTTGCATCCTATCTTCACCACTTCCTAACTATGACCCGGGACAAGTTATATAACCTCTCTAAAGCATCAGTGCTTTTATCTATAAGACAGGGATATACATATGGAAATGATGATAATATCTATCTCTGCAATTGTTCTGAGTTTTAAGTTAGTTAACATGATAAACTGCATAGAACACCCCTGCCACGTAGCAGACACTCAATAAATGTTAGCTATTATCATTTACATAAGAGGAAACCAAAGCTTAGTAAGGGTGTTTTTTCTAGGGTATCCAACTGTAACTTACAGGATGGGATTCCAAATCAGCTACCATGGCTGACAGCCACACTTGTGTAACTTATCTATAATCCCTCTATTATGTGATATAGACACATATATATATCATACCTGCTTCTGAGAAAGCTGTAAACTCCTTGAAGGAAGGGGATGTGCCCTTTCTGCATTCTCCTGGTGCCTAGCACAGTGCTTTGCATCCTGTAAATGTTCCATTATCATCAGATGAATAATTATAATTTAATTTAATTTAATTTAGATTTTCTAAATGCATGCCAACGTCTGGCCAAAAGCAAAAACACTGACAAAAACAAAATAAAACCAAAATAAACCAAAAACCCCCACCTACATTTCTAGGCAAATATGCCCTCAGCCAAATCTCTCAAAACACTTTAGAATTATTTGCCCTATTTATTTTCAGAACACTGCAAGAAAAAGGTAACAAGGATTATCTCTACTTTGCAGTTGGAGAAATTTGGGAGCAGAGGAAACTGGGCACTTTGCCTAGGAGCCAAAAACAAGTCACGGTGCAGCTGGGAACACTCACGTCTCTAGAATCAGGATAACTTGTTCCAAACCGCCTTTCCCAGGACAGCATGAAAGGACTTGATGTCTTTTTGCCTCAGACAATAGGATGTTTTTCCTTAGCCAAGGTCTAGGGGTTGAGCAATCTCCTCGGAGGAAGGATAAAGGGGTGGGCAGTGTTTGACCATGCTTCTCCCTGGTGTGCACATCCTCTGTGCACATCTGCTCTGAGAAGTGTGGAAGACACAGACCATTTTTCCAAGTCTCCCAAGGGGCTTGGGAGCAGTGAGACTATTGCAGAATAAGTAAGAAAAGCATTTCTGAGGATTTGGCCTTAGTTGGCTAAAGAAAATTTTCTTGGGGACCCAAAATATTAACTTCTTATTCTAACTAGCATTCCCCATTTATTTAAGATGGCTTTGTAAGATTGATTTCAGGTGATTACATCAATTCAACGAGAATGTAGAAAAAAATTTCATTTAAAGGGCTCTGGAAAAAAAGTTACCCGACTAAAATTTTTTTCTGCTAAAATTGATATTTTATGCTTCTGTAAAATGATCAAAATAAATTTTCTTATGTAACTGTGTTAACCTAAAAAGTAATTACTTAAAGCAAACTGGATTCATCTCTTAAATGTAAATAGGTACCTAGAGAGTTCATTTGTAGGTGGCAAAGCTTGAGAATTTTGACTTTCAGTTTTATTGGAGGTCTTATTAATTTATAACATGATTAATAAAGACCCACTGTATTTCTTACAACAAAACAAGAGAGAAAAATGAATAAAAAAAGGCCTTTGAATTCGCGGTGTCTTTTCAGTATAGCTTTATTTGGAAATGTTTGTTGGCAGATATTCAAACTCTCATTGTTTCTGAAGCTGTTTTTTCTAAAATAGTTTACAGTTCAGAAAGCTGAGGACAATAAACCTGCAACAATACTCACCTAACAGATGGAGCTACAGATCAGATTTAGAAAACGTATGAGACGTCCAAATGGGTTGGGAAAAGTTTGACAAAAAGCTCATTATGTTACTGTACATGAAGAGACGTAACATCACTGTTGGTCAGAGGATGTGACAGATGTCAACATCTAAATGGATTTTCTTTTTTCTTTTTTTTTACCTTTTAGTGTTAGGATTCCCTTTGAGAATCTGATGAAAGCTGTGGGCAAGCTCCTAAAACCCATCTATGAAACTCCCCCCCAGTATCCTCTCAGGGATTCTATGAAGTTAAAAACCCCTAATTCAGGGGAAGGAGCAGAGAACACGTTAATTAATCCTCAAGCATATACAGAACTTCTTTGTTACATATAGCAGAAGCCTCTGGGTGATATCAAAGATGTACTTCCTGCCTATTAGGAGTCCAAGAGCCAAGGCATATGCTCATTGTCAGAGGTCACATGATTCTTTTGGAATAGTGGAGATCCCCAGGAAGGAGGTAAGTATGGGTGAGTGAAAAAGCTGCAGTAAAAACAGAGTGTCTGTATTGATCTTGGCCAGGACCTGGCCTGTAGGACCCTCTTCCTTGATTACCCAATGTATTAGTTTCCTAGGGCTGGCGTAACAAAATACCACAAATTGGGTGGCTTAAACAGCAGAAATTAATTTTCTCACAGTTCTGGAGGCTGGAAGTCCAAGATCAAGGTGCCAGCAGGGTTGGTTTCTCCTGAGGCCTCTCTCCTTGGCTTGTGGATGGTCACTTTCTCACTGTGTCCTCACACAGTCCTTCCCCTGGGCATGTGTGCTTCTGGTGTCTCTGCCTCTTTTTATAAGGACGCCAGTGCTGTTGGATTAGATCCTCACGTTTACGTCTTCATTTAACCTTAATTTACCTCTTTAAAGGCTCTGTCTCTAAATATAGTGACAATGGGGGTTAGAACTTCAATTTATGAATTTTGGGGGAAATAATTCAGCCCATAACACCCCATTACACTTAAAATATTTTTCCCATTATGTTTTTAATACCTTGATATTTAGTTCTCTGTGGGTCTTGCTTCTGGGACCCATCTTGAGGTCTCAATTCCAGGTGAGTTACTGATCTCTGCCTGTGGAATTTCCTTACCCCCACAGTACCATCATAACTTGACACTGAACAATTTCAGATCTCTCAGTTCTGTGTTGATTATTAACCCTCTGGGTCATTTTCTGACTATGGACTCTTGCAGGAGTTTATTCTAGCTATCCTTTCCCAGGCCAGCCCTTCTATGGGTTTAGTCATACCCTCTATTTGGTCTTAGGCATAGGCTTGATACACAGAGAGCAATTAACGAGTAAGACAGTAGCAAAATGTGCACAATATTTTGTTAAATATAATGTGGACATTATTATGTTACACATTACACATTATGTTTATACATTACACATTATATTTCACAAAATTACACTACACATTATATATTTAACAAAATTAAATATAACGTGTAATGTAATTAATTGCTTTTTTTAGTAATAAATTTTGAAGCAAAATAAGTGAAACTAAAAGGAGAAAGATAGGTTAGAACTAGTGGATTTTATTTTATTTTATTTTTTATTTTTTATTTTTTGAGACAGAGTCTCACTCTGTCGCCCAGGCTGGATTGCAGTGGCCCAATCTCAGCTCACTGTAACCTCTGCCTCCTGGGTTCCAGCGATTCTCCTGCCTTAACCTCCCAAGTAGCTGGGATTACAGGCGTGTGCCACCACGCCTGGCTAATTTTTGTATTTTTTCACCATGTTGGCCAGGCTGGTCTTGAACTCCTGACCTCAGGTGATCTGCCTCGGCCTCCCAAAGTGCTGGGATTACAGGCATGAGCCACGGTGCCCAGCCAGGACTAGTGGATTTTAGATATCAGGCTAAGCAGTTTGATCTTTATTCATTAGATAAAAGGGAGATCTGGAAAGTTTTCTCATTGAATGTTAGGGAGTGTAAGAAGAACATGTTATGCTGTAGTAACAAGTAATCCCCAAATATCAGATGCTTACAACAACAAATTTTTTTTTTTTTCTATTCTTGCCACATGTTTATTGCAGGTCTGCTGCAATTCTGTTACATGTCTTTATTCTGGAGTGTAGGCTGATGGACCAATTCCCTTGGCAGAAGAAAAACAGATACAGCAAAATATGCTTGGTTTGTGAAGCTTCTGCCTGGGTGTAATACTTATCATTTCTGCCTACATTTCATTGATCAACATAAGTCATTTGACCACAGCTGACTTCAGTGGGATGGGGAGTATATTCCTCCCATCCAGAGGATGGACCCTGTATAGGCAAGAGAACCAGAAAATAGATTTTCATCAGGAATGGAAGGAGACCCTGTTGAGAAAAAAAGTATTAGGAAAAAGGAAGAAAAGAAGATAGAAGAGGCAGAGCAAAGTTTTAAGAAAAGCACGGCGGGGCAGATGTAAGACATAAAGGGGGGAAGGGAGAGAAAATTAGGGCAAAAATAAGAGGCAGCCCTATAAAGACACAAATAATTGAGACAACTGGGATAACAGAAATATAAAGGGTTAGATTATCTTAGTGCCGTACAATCACGTGGTTCTATAGAGCCATAAGAGGTTTGCATTAGTTTCCTGGGCTGTCATAACAAATTACCACAAGCTGGGTGGCTTAAAACAACAGAAATGTATTTTCTTGAAGTTCTAGAGGCTAAAGGTCTGAAATTAAGGTGTCAGCAGGCACCTGCTGCATCCCAATGCCATAGGGAAGAATACTTTCTTGCCTCTTCCTGACTTCCACTGGGTGGCTTCCAGAAACACCTGGTATTTCTTGGCTCATAGCCGCATCACACCAGTCTCTGCTTCCCTCTTCTCATGACCTTCTTTCCCTGTGGGTCTCCTGTGAATCTCTGTGTGCCCTCTTCTTGTGAGGACACCAGTCATTGGATTTAGGGTTTACCGTAATCCAATGTGACCTCATCTTAACTTGATTACATCTGCAAAGACCCTATTTTCAAATAAGCTCACACTCACAGGTATGAAGGATGAAGACTTGAACATACCTTTTTGGGGAGCAATTCAACACATTATAGTCCATTCTCTGGTCCCCCAAAATTCATGTCTTTTCCACACGCAGAATACATCCATCCCATTCTTAACCCATTTCAAATTTCTGAACCTATTCCGGCATTAACTCTAAATTCCAAATCTCATTTAAATACCATCGAGTCAAAAAGTCCTAAATATCATCATCTAAATCATCTAAATCAGGTGTATGTGAGTTTCTTGGTATGATTTATCCTGATTCCTCATCTATGAAACTAGAAAACCAGTTACCTCTCCCCAAATACAATGGCATAGTATAAACAGTTTCATTCTGAAATGGAGAAAATGGAAGGAATACATAAGTGGACAAGGGTCATTTGTTCCAAGCAAGTTCAAAACAGAGCAGGCCAAATTCCATCATGTTTCAGGCCTGAGAATAATCCTCTGTGGTTCAGTGCGCTGCTCTTTGGCCCTCAGAGGCTCTGCCCTCGGGGCCTGCAGGAACCCCACCGGTTCCTGAACTATCTTCTGAGTTGTATTACTTTGCTAGAGCTGCCATAGGAAAATACCACAGGCTGAGTGGCTTAAACAGAAGAAATTTATTTTCCTCCCAGTTCTAGAGGCTGGAAATCCACGGCCAAGGTGTCAGGAGGGTTGGTTTCTCCCCAGGCCTCTCTCCTTGGCTTGCAGATAACCACCTTGCTGTGCCCTCACGTGGTCCTTCTCCTGTGTGTATCTGTATTCTAATCCCTTCCTATAAGGACACCAGTCATTGTGGATTAGGGACCACTCTTATTACTTGACTTTACCTTAGTTACTTTAAAAGCCTTATCTCTAAATATAGTCACATTCTGAAGTATTTTAACATATGAATTTTGAGGAGACACAATTCAGCCTATTACAGGAGTCATTTATTCATGTGTGAAAGGAAATTAAATTTTGGGACCTCAAACTCATTTACAAGGGAAAAGTCAAGCTGGGAACTGGGTCACGCAAACCTGCCTCCCCGTTTTGGTTCCTAAATAAGATGACTACAAGATGAAAAGCTACATGCCCGCCTTATATTTTGCCCACAAGGAAATTCCTAGTGAGCTCTTATAACTTTACCATGGCAATGCAAATTGATAGCTTATCTTTACAGGTGCAGTCGCTCTGGCCCACCAGACACAAATGCTTATCTGACTGTTCCCTGACCCCATTTTGTCCATTTTGTCTGTGTTATCTGATGTAAAATGCAGATTCTCCACATTTTTCCTCTGCCCTTTTTGTTTATGTCATCTTATGTAAAAAAATGTAGATTCACGGAGCCAGGAAAAGGCATAAATGACTATTTTTCCCTAACCCCTCTTACATGAAAACTGTGTGCTTCTCAATATCCCACCCTTTCCCCTTTAAATTTGGAGCCCTCAAAATCATCTTCAGAGAAAAGCATAGACCTATCTCCCGGACGCGTCCTTAACTTCAGTAAATAAATCTCCTAAAATTATTGAGACTTGTCTCATCATTTTCCTCAATTGACACGTTTTTATTTTTATATATTTATTTATTTAATGAGGCAGGATCTCACTCTGTCACCCAGGCTGGAGTGCAGTGGCATGATCTTGGCTTATTGCAACCTCCGCTTTCCAGGTTCAAGTGATCCTCCCACCTCAGCCTCTGGAGTAGCTGAGACTACAGATGTGTCCCATGGTACCTGGCGAATTGCTGTGTTTTTAGTAAAGATGGGGTTTCACCATGTTGCCCAGGCTGGTCTCGAACTCCTGGGCTCAAGCAATCTGCCTGCCTTGGCCTCCCAAAGTGATGGGATTACACATGTGAGCCACTGTGCCCAGCAGGAATCATTTTTTCTTTTCCTTGACAGATAACACATGTTCGCAGTCATATAGAATTTTGAAAGTCCTACAGCCTTCATTTTATCCTGCCTCTGTTTCTTGAAGCCCAGGTTGGCAGTATTTCTGCTGATATAACATTCTTAAAAACATTATTGGTTTCCTATGCAATTCATGGGGATCTGGCCCATCAGACAAGAAGGTCCTGCACAGATTTTCCTGGATAAACCCACTTGTATTTCTGGCTCCTGCTGAGAAGGTTGACTGAATCCATGGGTCACACTCACATACCTAATCTCTATAACAAAAGGCTGTTTAGCCAGATTCTTGGTGTTCTCCCCAGAGCATGCTTTCTCGCCATTTGCATTCTGGATAGGCTGAGAATTTCCAAAGTCATCAAGTTCTATGTTGCTTAATAGTTTCTTCCTCCAATTATCTCTTTCCTCTCATTTTCTACTATAAACAGCAAGAGAAAACCAGGCCACATTTTCCACACTGTGTTTGGAAATCTCATCAGTTCAATATCCAAGTTCATCACTTATGAGTTCTGCTTTCCACCCAACAGTAGAACATAATTCAGTCAAGTTCCTGCCATTTTATAACAAGAATCGCCTTCCCGACAGTGTCAAATAACATGTTCTTCATTTCCTCTGAGTCCTCACCAGAAGCACCTTAACATTTATATTTCTACCAACATTCTGTTTGTGACAATATACATGTTCTCTAAGATGATAGACGATTTATCTACAGTTCTCCTTACTTCTTTCTGAGCCCTTCCTGGAATCTCCTCTAACGTCCACATTTCTACCAACAATCTTTTCAAGGCAATCTAGGATCTTTGAAACCATGTGTCTAGGCTGGGAGTGGTAGCTCATGCCTATAATCCCAGCATATGGGAAGCTGAGATGGGTGGATCATTTGAGCTCAGGAGTTCGAGACCAGCCTGGCCAACATGGTGAAAACCCATCTCTATTAAAAATATGAAAATTAGCCTGGCACAGTGGCATGTACCTGTAATCCCAGCTACCTGGGAGGCTGAGGCATGAGAATCGCTTGAACCTGGGAGGCGGAGGTTGCAGGGAGCCAAGATTGCACCGCTGAACTCCAGCATGGGTGACAGAGCAAGACTCAGTCTCAAAAAAATGAAAAAAAAAAAAAAAGTGTCTAAAAATTCTTCCCACTACCACCACTATCCAATTCCAAATCCACTTCAACATTTTTAGGAATTTGTTATGGCGGTATCCCATTCTCAGTACCAAAATCTGTATTGGTTTCCAAGGGCTGCCATCACAACTTACCATAAACTGTTTGGCTTAAGACAATAGAACTTTATTTTCTCAAAGTTTTGGGGGCCAAAACTCTAAAATCAAGGAAGCAGGGCCATACTCTCTCCAAACTCTGTAGGGAAAAATCCAAAAGAATCTAGCCTGATGGTATTTGCTGTGAACATGGACTGCCAGGTTTATTGCCAGAGTGCTAGACATGTGCGTCTGAGTTCCAGGCCCAAAGAGTTATGTATATCCATTACTTTGATTCAGAATTGGTACATTCTAAATTGAAGGACATTTGGAGTTGAAGTTCACTGCCTGTTGTTTTCTTAACCCTTTAATCCTTCATGCTACCTCCCTATCAGGTGCTAGGCTATCATAAGACATAAAAAAGGCCTGGAGGGTTTTGCTAATCACTGATGCCACTGAATACTACCAGAAATAAGTTCTATTCCTCAAGCTAAATTACACCAATCAAGCCCTGTAAGGAAGGAAAGTGTATTTAAAATCCTTGCTGTCACTGGAGGAAGTATAGCAGAAAATTGATGAGTCAGAAAGACCTGAATTCAAGTTCCAGCTCTGATGCTTCCTAGCTGTGTGATGTTGGGCAAGTTACTTAACCTCTCTCTCTGTGTCTCATTATCCTTATGTGTCCAATAAGGATGATAATAAAACCTGTCTAATAGGGTAGCTGCGAGGAAAAGAGATGATGTTTGCATAGTGCTTTGCCCAATTCATGACTAGACTGGGGTTCAATATATGATAATAATGGCGATGATGATGAAGGCCAATAAGAAAGCTGAATATTCACTCTGATGGTAGTTTCTTTTGCTGTGCAGAAGCTCTTTAGTTTAATTAGATCCCATTTGTCAATTTTGGCTTTTGTTGCCATTGCTTTTGGTGTTTTAGACATGAAGTCCTTGCCCATGCCTATGTCCTGAATGGTAATGCCTAGGTTTTCTTCTAGGGTTTTTATGGTTTTAGGTTTAACGTTTAAGTCTTTAATCCATCTTGAATTAATTTTTGTGTAAGGTGTAAGGAAGGGATCCAGTTTCAGCTTTCTACATATGGCTAGCCAGTTTTCCCAGCACCATTTATTAAATAGGGAATCCTTTCCCCATTGCTTGTTTTTCTCAACAGGCAACCTACAAAATGGGAGAAAATTTTCGCCACCTACTCATCTGACAAAGGGCTAATATCCAGAATCTACAATGAACTCAAACAAATTTACAAGAAAAAAAACAAACAACCCCATCAAAAAGTGGGTGAAGGACATGAACAGACACTTCTCAAAAGAAGATATTTATGCAGCCAAAAAACACATGAAAAAATGCTCACCATCACTGGCCATCAGAGAAATGCAAATCAAAACCACAATGAGATACCATCTCACACCAGTTAGAATGGCAATCATTAAAAAGTCAGGAAACAACAGGTGCTGGAGAGGATGTGGAGAAATAGGAACAATTTTACACTGTTGGTGGGACTGTAAACTAGTTCAACCCTTGTGGAAGTCAGTGTGGTGATTTCTCAGGGATCTAGAACTAGAAATACCATTTGACCCAGCCATCCCATTACTGGGTATATACCCAAAGGACTATAAATCATGCTGCTATAAAGACACATGCACACGTATGTTTATTGTGGCATTATTCACAATAGCAAAGACTTGGAACCAACCCAAATGTCCAACAATGATAGACTGGATTAAGAAAATGTGGCACATATACACCATGGAATACTAGCAGCCATAAAAAATGATGAGTTCATGTCCTTTATAGGGACGTGGATGAAATTGGAAATCATCATTCTCAGTAAACTATCGCAAGAACAAAAAACCAAACACCGCATATTCTCACTCATAGGTGGGAACTGAACAATGAGAACATATGGACACAGGAAGGGGAAGAGCACACTCTGGGGACTGTTGTGGGGTGCGGGGAGGGGGGAGGGATAGCACTGGGAGATATACCTAATGCTAAATGACGAGTTAATGGCTGCAGCACACCAGCATGGCACATGTATGCATATGTAACTAACCTGCACATCGTGCACATGTACCCTAAAACTTAAAGCATAATAATAATAAAATAAAAAAAAGAAAGAAAGCTGAATATTGTTGAAGATTGTGTCAAGGAACCTCTGTAATAGGATATAGAACGCCTCCTCTTTTCACATGAACTGCTAATACTATATGTGAAGAATGACGATTTTTAGGCAGAGGGGTGAAACATATCCCTTTAGTCAAGCTATGCAAACACAGCAGCTGCTCACATAAATTCCTTGAGTTTTATGCCGTTGTCTTTTCTCAGACAGAGCCCTCATTGAGTTTGGGAGAATTTGGGTTGGCTGGGTAATAACCGCATGAGCTATGTAGCTACTCTTTCATTCTGACCTCACCTTGGGATAGACACAGAACCCAATGTATCAAATCGCCTGGTGTACAGATCTCTTGTCCAAGTGAGGTGCAGCTGAACTTTATATTTCTGTGCATTTGACTTGCAGGCTGCGTCTTATTCACCAAGACAGAAGTTTATACTTGGGCCTTCTCATGGGTGAGGTCACTTTGCTGTTATTAGCCAAACGCCGCTCTTCTCCAAATGTCTGATGTTTTCTTGGCTGTAGTGTTCAGTTCCCAGAGCAAGATGTTTTAGACTAAGAAGTACTGCTTGTGCAATGACGCAAAGCCTATTCTGGAAATTTGCTCCAATGGTTGTGTTTTCTTGTTGGTTTTGAGCAACGGTATTTGTATTTTTGTTGATATTTCCCTTGTGAAGGAGCAATGGGTTTGTTAGATTTTGCGTGGTCTGATTGTACAACGTCAGGGATGCAGCTGAGGCTTTGTCTCTAGCAAATGTTAGGCGAGCCAAATTCGGACTGTTTAGAGTCTACATTGGCATTAACTGGCTGGCAACTTGAAATGAGACAAAAATGAATGATTTGCACAATGCCTGTCCTCGCTAGCTCAGTATTTCTTAAAAATTTCTTTTCATTGTCACTCCCCCAAGGAGCTTTTTGAACATTTTTTTCCTGAATGTCTCCTCCCACCATGAAATTTTAATACTCCAGATACACCGTATATCTATTTATATAATATTATCTGTATCTGTGTTTTATATATAAAAGAATAGAATTCTAGCTACCCCTGAACCAATTTTGCCCTTTTACTAATGATCCTCACCAATTGACTGAAACACATCTCATGCCTGAAAAAAACACAATTTACTATGGGGTAATTCATTGGCAATTACAATTTATAGCTGGAGAAACTGAGTCATGAATGATTTTCTAAGAACTTGATATAATATTTATAACAGCATTCATTACTCTACAAACATTTATAAAAGAACACAGAAGAATAACTTTTTGAATACATTACAGTTACTTTTCGGAGGAAATGCAGTAAAAATCTTTATAATTATAAGCTTTTTGTCCATGTTGTTAGCGCTTCTCATGTTGTGTGCTAAAGTTGGTTGAGATCTGTAAAAGCACAGGACAAATATTTCCTGCACATGCCCTTTTTCATTCCTATGCTCTAATCCCTGATGAAAGCCCCAATCACTTCACGTCTGACTGTTTTCCCTACCTCTGGACTCACATTCACAAATGCAAATTGCCCTCAAGGGCCAGGGAGGCCACAGAAATTAACGAAGGGGGCCCGAAGTAAGAAAACGACACTCTCCCAACACAGGCAGGGATGACTGGCAGCTGACACATGGCCTTTGTGTTAGGAAGACAAGAGGGGGTGCATGGGACTTGGGAAATGGAAAATATGTAGTCCATCTGAAGGTGGCAGCTGCTACTCAATTCTTGTAGCTTTATTGTCACAGGGAAATGGCAGCCCAACATTGTCTGATCATTTTACTGTTTTAGAGAGAAACCAGAAATCTAACATTTTATGGGATTATTAAATATTGACCAATAGTCTTTGTGCCAAATAAAACGGGTCTGTGAGCTGGGCTGGGCCACTGAACACTAAGCTTTGAGCACAGTTCCAGAGACTTCCTTCTCTTTCCAACCCAATCTATCTTAAACACTATTTTAAACAATTTCACCCTCTCAAAGTGTAATTCACATCATGTTCCTCTCCTGCTTAAAAGTTTTCAATAGCTTCCCACTGCCTACCAAGTCAATTCTAAACTCGTGAGCCAGGCATTTTAAAGCCATCTGCCACTTTATGTAATATCTTCCCTTCACTTATGTGAACATCAACTTTTTCTCCTTTCCTTGACTTACTTTGTAATTTTCTGCCTCACTCCTTTGACTAAGGTGGCTTCTTCTGCCTGAAACCTTCATGTTTAAATCTTACCAATCTTTCAAAGTCGAACTTTAGATGTCTCCTTTCCAAGAATCCTTCTTTGCTATATCTGATAAGAGGTTATTCTTTCTCTGAACTTCAATAACGTATTATTTTTGATAAAGTGTTTGGAACACTCTGCTCAGAGCAAGTGCGATAGGACGAGTTGGCTCGGAAGGAGTGGCTCATCACCCTCATTTGCCCTTCACTTCCCATCTCTGGCTCTGTCCTGTGTCATAGGGGAATAGCATATTCATTTAATTTTTTCTCTGGCATTTTTCACTTTTCATTGTGTAATACAGAGTCCTCTATCCCTTACTAGGTAATATTTTCAAACAGGGATTCTTTCTTTCTTTCTTTCTTTCTTTCTTTTCTTTCTTTCTTTCTTTCTTTCTTTCTTTCTTTCTTTCTTTCTTTCTTTCTTCTTTCTTTCTTTCTCTTCTTTCTTTCTTTCTCTTCTTTCTTTCTTTCTTTCTTTCTTTTTCTTTCTTTCCTTCCTTCCTTCTTTCTTTTTTCTTTCTTTCTTTCCTTTCTTTTCTTTCCTTCCTTCCTTCTTTCCTCCCTTCCTTCTTTCCTTTCTTTCTTTTCTTTCCTTCTTTCCTTTCTTTCCTTGCTTTTCTTTTCTTTCTTTCTTCCTTCCTTCCTTCTTTCTTTCCCTTCCTTCCATCCTTCCTTCCTCCCTTCCTCCTTTCCTTTCTTTCTTTTCTTTCCTTCTTTCTTTCCTTGCTTTTCTTTTTCTTTCTTCCTTCCTTCCCTCTTTCTTTCTTTCCCTTCCTTCCTTCTGTCCTTCCATCCTTCCTTCCTCCTTTCCTTTCTTTCCTTCTTTCCTTTCTTTCTCTTTCTTTCTTTCTCTCTCTCTCTCTCTTCCTTCCCTCCCTCCCTCCCTCCCTCCCTCCCTCCTTCCTTCCTTCCTTCCTTCCTTCCTCAGGGTCTTGCTCTGTCACCCAGGCTGGGGTGCCATGGGCCAATCATGGCTCACTGCAGCCTTGACCTCCCAGGCTCAAGCGATCCTCCTACCTCAGCCTTCCAAGTAGCTGGGACTACAGGCTTAAGCCACCAGGCCTGGCTAATTAAAAAAAATTTTTTTTTTCCAGGGATGGATGTCTCCCTGTGTTGCTCAGGATGGTCTCAAACTCCTGAGCTCAAGTGATCTTCCCCCCTGAGCCTCCCAAAGTGCTGGGATTACAGACATGAACCATTGTGCCCCACCAGGGATCATTTTCTTGTATAACCTTGATTCCCCACAGTGGCAAGTACTTAAATATTTGTAAAATGAGCATTTGCAACTCTATTGATTGCTTCATTCACCAGATCATTCCTTCCCACATGCCCCCAAAATTCCAAATCTATGGATGTGTTACTTGAAGAGAACCAAATTGAGAGAAGGCAAACATACTTCAGGAAGGGTAATGTGTAAGGAACCATCAGGATTCTCATGCATTTGCGTGATTTGTCTACCCTCTTTGGCCCAAATATTGAGCCTTTTAAACATTTAAAAATATTGACCAATGAAGATTTAATATGTTCAATTGACCCTCGTTTTAACATGCTGTTCAACATCTGCCAATTTCTAAAAACTGGTCTGACATTCTAGAAGGAAAAAAAGAATGAGCAATTCCTAGGTTAACTAACATATATAAAGGAATTTGATATCTCTTTTGCCTTACTGGGCTCCTGGGTACAGGCCAGTATACTTGGAAGTGGCCACAAGAGGGGAGTATGAACCACAGTCATCCTTAAATGAATGAGACCAAGGATTCATTCTTTCTCCAGCAGAATGAAGAAAGCTCCATCCTGAACAATAGTCAATTGAATTATCATTCCCTTTCCAGCTGACGATCAAAGACTGAATGTGGATCTGCCCTTTCTGTGTTCACAGAGACGGTAACTTTCACCTCTCAGCTGTCCAATCAGACCATAATCCTGACTGGAAGAAATACTTGCAGAGCAGGGCCTGAAGGATGTGCAGTCCCTCTTGCTCAATTTCTCTCACATTGTTTTACCTTTGCATGAAACCAGAGCCCTGAGAGAACTGTGTTCCTGGATCATGTTGCTTTGGGTCCTGTAGAATTATTTCTACTGAATTGTGATTTGGCCTCCCTCAAAATCTTTGTACTGAGGGAAGCTTTAAGAAGCAGCTGTTTAAAATGTGTTATTAGGCCAGGCGTGGTGGCTCACGCCTATGATCCCAGCACTTTGGAAGGCCGAGGAGGGTGGATCACCTGAGGTCAGGAGTTCGAGACCTGCCTGGCCAACACGATGAAACCCTGTCTCTACTAAAAATAAAAAAATTTGCTGGGTGTGGTGGCAGGCGCCTGTAATCCCAGCTACTCAGGAGGCTGAGGCAGGAGAATCACTTGAACCTGGGGGATGGAGGTTGCAGTGAGCCGAGATCACACCACTGCACTCCAGCCTGGGTAACAGAGTGAGACTCCGTCTCAAAAAAAAAAAAAAAAAAAAAAAAGAGTGAAACTCTGTCTCAAAAAATAAAAATAAAAAAATATAAAAAATAAAATGTATTATTACATCAACAAAAAGATGTCTACAAATTCATACAATGTTCTGTTTTTAAGGACCCATGGGAGAAATTTTGCTTAAAACTCAGAATGCAGGAAAAGCTGTTTGTCTTGATATATTGACTTTCTAAATATTTTAACTTATTATGCCTTTCTCTTTTCTTTGACTGCTGGGAGGCTTCATTTATTCAACCAGTATGTACGGAGTGCCCGTATGTGCCAGCTGGCTGCTGGAGATATGATGGGGAGCAAAAGGAGAAGGAATCCTGTCCTCATGAAGCTTCCAGTTTAGAGGAAGTAACAGATATTTATTTATTACTCAGATAAATGCACAAACTGAAAAGTGCTGTGAAGGGAAGGGCCCTTGCTATGAGAACATAACAAGACAGGACTTCATTTGAAGAAGTCCCCTTCAGGCCTGAGGCGGTGTGAGTTTCCTAAGGGAAAGGAGGTGGGGTGCTGGCATTCCTGACCTGAAGACGAACCACCTACTGGGGAGAAGACCTGCATTCTGGCAACTGGAAGAATTCCAGGGAGCTAAAGTGCACTTTATGTGGATGGGGAAGGTGTGGAGCAAGGTTTGAGTGGGGAGTGAAGTTTTGGTGCCCTGTATAGGCGTTTCTGCTTGCTAATCTTTTTTTTTTTTTTTTTTTTTTAACTTTTATTTTAAGTTCAGAGGTCCGTGTGCAGGTTTGTTATATAGGTAAACTTGTGTCATGGGGGTTTGGTGTACAGATTATTTTGTCACCCAGATGCTAAGCCTACTACCCAGTAGTTATTTTTCCAGATCCTCTCCCTCCTCCCACCCTCCACTCTCAAGTAGGTCCCAGTGTCTGTTGTTCCCCGCTTTGTGTCCATGAGTTCTCATCTTTTAGCTCCCGCTTATTTTTATTTTTTATTTTTTTGAAACAGAGTCTCCCTCTGTCGCCCAGGCTGGAGTGCAGTGGCGCCATCACGGCTCACTGCAGGCTCCACCTCCCAGGTTCACGCCATTCTCCTGCCTCAGCCTCTGGAATAGCTGGCACTACAGGCACCGCCACCAGGACCGTCTAATTTTTTGTATTTCTTACTAGAGACGGGGTTTCACCGTGTTAGCCAGGATGGTCTCGCGATCTCCTGACCTCGTGATCTGCCTGCCTCGGCCTCCCAAATGAGACCGGCCTTAGCTCCCACTTACAAGTGAGAACATGCAGTATTCGTTTTCTAAGGATAATGGCCTCCAGCTCCATTCATGTTCCTATAAAAGACATGATCTCATTCTTTTTTGGCTGCATAGTATTCCATACAGAACAACATAGTATTCCATGGTGTATATGTACCACACTTTTAAAAATTCTATCTGGCCGGGTGTGGTGGCTCACGCCTGTAATCCCAGCACTTTGGGAGGCCGAGGCAGGCAGATCGCGAGGTCAGGAGATCGAGACCATCCTGGCTAGCACGGCGAAACCCCGTCTCTACTAAACATACAAAAAATTGCCAAGTACCTGTAATCCCAGCTACTCAGGAGGCTGAGGCAGGAGAATGGTGTGAACCTGGGAGGTGGAGCTTGCAGTGAGCCGAGGTCGCACCACTGCACTCCAGCCTGGGTGACAGAGGGGGACTCTGTCTCAAAAAAATAAATAAATAAAAATAAAAAAAATTTTTTTTTAAATAAAAAAATTCTATCTGTTGTCCCTGATGGGCATTTAGGTTGATTCCATGTCTTTGCTCTTGCGAATAGTGCTGCAATGTACACATGCATGTATGTGTCTTTATGGTAGAATGATTTCTATTCCTTTGGGTATATACCCAGTAATGGGATTGCTGGGTCAAATGATAGTTCTGTTTCTATATGCATGCTAATCTTACCCAGGCTTTTGTTTTACCTTATATCCCTTGATATGTTATCTTTTCATAAGAAACATATTTTGTAGAATAAGATGGAATAAATAAAAAGTTATTCAAAATTGCATTATAAGCAGACTCCATCTTGAATTAAATAAAAACAGATTTCACACCATGCCACCCCTGCCAAGACTCCCTCACGCCCATGGGTTCTCACTCTTGGACACAAGGTGTACTGTCCCACCTTGTGGGCGAGCCTGTGGACTTGAGAACATAGACTGGCTTTGCTCTGCTGGCATCTGAAGGCTCAAGGTATTTTTCCTTCACAGCACATCAGGATCCAGAGTTATAAAGTACTCGCTCCTAGATGGATTTATTGACAATTTAGAAATTATAGTCCTGCCTTCTGGTCCTATAAAAGGTTACATCCAGTTCCCTCTGAAAAACACTCCAGGAATAAACAGGCCACGTGAATAAGGCAGTATTTTATAGTTGCTTTTCTGATCAGAAACCTTCATTCTGCTGGCTTTGCTGAGGATTAGAATGTGTTGGTAAAATGTTGCTGGAGGAAACCTCTGCGGTTAGGCGTTCTTGCCTTCATCTGTCATCTCTGTTCTCAGTGTTGATTTGAACCAAGGCCTTAATGGGGACAAAATAGAACATATCAATGCCTCTTACATTTCCTAGGTGAGGAAAAAGCCTATTTCTGAGCCCTTACTCATTGTAATAACACATTTCATTTAACAGAAGGGGTGCGGTGGAAAGGAAGAAAGAAGAAAATGAATTGTGATACCAGTGAGGTGGTTAGAAATAGGGTTGCCCATCATTCTGCCTCAGCCAGACAGAGGTCTTTGCTGAGCTCCAAAATGCACCAGACATATTGCTGCCACAGGACTTTTGCACTGGCTGCCCATCAACCTGGAATGCTCTTCCTCTGTATAACCACAAGCTTGACTTGTTCACCTCCTTCTAGTTTTTGATTGAATATATTATCACCTTGATCATCCTATTTAAAACTGATGACCCTCTTGAACTCCTGATTCCCTTTACCACGTCTCAGGGGTTGGCAAATTATGACCTCTAACCACCTGTTTTTGTAAATAAAGTTTTATTGGAACATAGCCAAACTCATTTGTTGTTGTTGTTCTTGTATTTTACACCTTGAATATGACTGCTTTTGTCCAACAATGGCAGAGTTGAGAGACAACGTGGCCCACGAAGTCTAAACAATTTACTACCTGGCCCTTTTCAGAAAATTTGCCAACACTGCCCTGTTTCATTTTCTTCTGTTTCATTTCTAACCTTCTAACGGTATACACATATCTATATATCTATATCCATCCAAACCTATCTACATATCTATATCTTATTTTTATTTTATTCTATTTTTTGAGATGGAGGCTTGCTCTGTTGCCCAGGCTGGAGTGCAGTGGCACGATCTCAGCTCACTACAACCTCCGCCTCCTGGGTTCAAGTGATTCTCCTGCCTCAGCCTCCTGAGTAGCTGGGATTACAGGCATGTGCCACCAAGCTAATTTTTGTATTTTTAGTAGAGATGGGCTTTCACCATGTTGGCCAGGTTGGTCTCGAACTTCTGACCTCAGGTGATCTGCCCACCTTGGCCTCCCAAAGTGCTGGGATTACAGGCGTGAACCACCGCGCCCAGTCCATCTTTTTTTTTTTTTTAGTTTTGAGATGGAGTCTCCCTCCTCTGTCGCCTAGGCTGGAGTGCAGTGGCATGATCTTGGCTCACTGCAACCTCCGCCTCCTGGGTTCAAGTGATTCTTCTGCCTCAGCCTCCCTGAGAAGCTGAGACTACAGGCATGGCCACCAAGCCCAGCTATTTTTTTTTTTGTATTTTTAGTAGAGACGAAGTTTCACCATGTTGGCCAGGCTTGTCTCGAACTCTTGACCTTAGGATATTCGCCTGCCTCAGCCTCCCAAAGTGCTGGGATTACAGGTATGAACCACTGCATCCGGCCTGCCCATCTTATTTTTAAAAATCTCCACAAGGGCAGAGATTTTTAATTTATTTTGTTAGTTCACCAATATATTTAAATATCTAGAACATTGCTCGGTAGATTTTGAATAATGATTTGTTGGATGAACAAATGAATAAGTGAATATAAAGTGTCCCACAAAGATTAGACAGTTAGTTTGATAATTATTATTATTTCAATATAACTGCAACTTACGAAAAGGGGAAGATATCCATTACACCAGTGTATATTCTCAACCTAACACGTAGAAAGTTGTGACTATTACAAGCTCCTCTCAGCTGCTGCAAGAAGCATGCTGTCACAGGCTTGTCTCTGAGCCTTATATACCTGCTTACTTCTGCTAGGACACCTACACAATCCTCAAATAAACACTAGAGGAAAAGGCTTTTTTATGAAAGTAAACATTTTTTGTCATTCTAAAAGTTTTGGCTTTTGTTGGGGAAGTGCTATTTTCATGTTCAGACAGAGGAATGCCTATTTTTACACTACAGCCAGACAAGACTCAACTATTGAGCCAAATGGGCAGGTGTGTTTTCAAACTATGTCTTTATTTCACTTAAAAGAAGACGGGAAGAAAGAAACTCACCTTTTGATCAAGGAAATAAAAGGTTCAGCCTTCTAGTTCCTTTCAGCAGCTGGTAAAATTTTTCATATGGGTTACATTTCTCGATCACATAAACAAAAACCAATTTACATAAATTAGTCTCTTGTCAATATGAAATATCTATGTAGTTGCTGCAAAAACACTAAGGTTGGACAGCATCTAACTAGAATTCTGAAGTTTTTTTCTTATTTCTGCTGACTTTTCGATTGCCACTCCAGTGCTAGTTTTCAAAAGTACAGATATGTCAGTCTCCTTATTATTTTTAGGTGGGTTTTGAGGATTAGAATGAGGAAAGAGTTACATATGGCACAAGTAGGTCATACTCTGAGAGCTGGGCTCAATTGGGGGTGATTTTGCATTTAGCAAAGTCTGGAGACATTTTTGATGGTCACAACTGGGCAGGTGCTATTGGCAGTTTAGTGGGTAGAGGGCAGAGTGGTTGTTAAACAGTCTGCAGTGCCCAGGATGGGTTCTTCCCATCCCCATCAAGCCCCAACCTCCCAAAAAATAATTATGCTGTCCAAAATGTCAGTAGTGCTGAGGTTGAAAAATCCTGTCCTGTGATCTAGTTAACATGCTGCCTTTTCCTTTCTCAGCCTTTTGCTTTCTTGTTGCCTTGGTGATGTCATTCCTTGCAACCTGGGGTTAATAATAGATGCCCATTTCTTCCTTCACTGGGAGGAGATAAACATGGTGAGCCATTCAAGCACCAAAAACACCTAAGGAAAAGTATTATTACTATTTATTAAGAAAGAATTGTATGTCTCCAAATGTCATGTCTGTATTTCTTCATGACTGCTTAAAAAAAGTTTAAATAATTGAAGGGTGCCTATAACCTATGTGTCTTCTGTCCCTTCTGTTGTAGAGAGAGGGTCATAGAACACAGGCTGCTGAAATCCACTTTAAAAATCTACAGCTGATGTGTTTGCTCCTTTTGGTCTTTTTCTGGCTGTCCTATTCCAGAGTGTCCTCCTTCCCTCTCTTTGTCCTTGTCCCCTCGGTGATCCCCTGACCTCCTTGTCTTTTTCCTTCACCTGATACACCTGAAGGGTATGACTGCTACAACCTCTTATTCCTTTCCCCTTAATTCACTTGATTCTTGATTCAGTATTTCATCAACTATTTTTTGTTACTCAAGCATTCCCTTGGGGTCTTGCACTTCACTCAAGTAGCTTTTTAGCAATTTTTCTGAAGGAAATGTTCTCCATCTTAATATAAATTATATATAAATATTTACCCTTGAATGTTGAAAGTCACGGCTAAATAATAATACAAAAATGAGAACCAAAGAAAAGAATCACTTTACTTAAACATTAATTTGGGCTGGAAAGAACTTTGTGGCTTTAAACCAGATTCCTGATGTTTTAGCCATCTAAATCCCCAAATTTTTGTTAGAATAAATTGTATTTGTTCATTTTTAATTTTATGGAAGTCTTAGGTTCTCTAAGTCCTGGAGCTTGAGGACCCAACTGGCAAGCATGAAGGGCTGGAAAATCCTATTGTTAACTGACAAAATATCTTTTCATAAGAGTTTATGCAAGCTAAAAGAATATATCTGAAGACAGGATTATGTGCTTTTCTACAAAGTTCTCTTACAGTTTTTAAGGGGATGTTAGTGATTAGGATACAGCACTGGTCTTTTTTTTGTTGTTGTTGTTTGTTGTTTTCTTTTGAGATAGTCTTGCTGTCGCCCAGGCTGGAGTGCAGTGGCACGATCTTGGCTCACTGCAATCTCTGCTTCCTGGGTTCAAGCGATTCTCTTCCCTCAGCCACCCAAGTAGCTGGGATTACAGGCACATGCCACCATGACTGGCTAATTTTGTATTCTTAGTAGAGATGGGGTTTTGGCATGTTGGCCAGGCTGGTCTTGAACTCCTGACCTCAGGTGATTTGCCCACATTGGCATCCCAAAGTGCTGGGATTACAGACGGGAGCCACTGCACCCGGCCACAGCACTGGGTTTAAAGGAGATCTTAGAGAAGAATTTGTTCCCCTTAGCAAGCTGGAAACACTTTAGATGCAGGAGATTAACTTGGTTAGGTCATGGTCCTTCCCATTGTGTTATTTCTTAGATTTTTATATGTTTTCTTAAAAGAGGAGAAATATTCTGTCTATATTAATTAAATTGGGAGAAAATGAAATTTACTTTCTATTTACACCCAGTTTCACTCAGAGTAACACCCCAAGTCCTCACATTGGTCTCCAAGTTCTTGAGGCTACGGTGCAGTAACTGTGCTGACCTCATCTCTTGCTATTGTCCCCCCACTCACTTACTCACTCTGCTGCAGAACGCTGGCCTCCCTGCAGCTCTTCACACCCCTCAGACACACTCTTGATGGGGAGCCTTTGTGTTTGCTCCTCCTGCTTGGAATGCTCTTCCCTAGTTTACCTACTTGGCTTACTCTCTCACCAACCTCCTCTTTATTCCAGTTTCTCCTCAATGAGACCTCTCCGCCCACATTATTTAATTCTGAAAACCATACTTTTTCCTTATTCCCTTAGGTCTTAATCCTTCTTCCCTGCCCAAATTTTTTCTCCTTTTTTAAAACATAGAATAATGATCTTTTAACAAACTATTTACTCATTTATAATGCATTGTGTTTATTTCCAACCTGCCCTTGCTAGAATGTAAATTTCTCAGGGGCAGAGATTTTTGTCTGTTTTATTCACTATTGTGTCTCAAGAGTCTAAAACAGTGCCTGGCTCTGTGTGAAGCCACACATCATTGTTGAATAAGCAAGTGGGTTGGTTAAGCATAAGCAGGGACAGAGAGGCTTTTATGAGGAATTTGTAGCTGTCAAAAGAATAGCTTGAAGGCCAGGTGTGGAGGCTCATGCCTGTAATCCCAGCACTTTGAGAGGCCGAGGCGGGTGGATCACCTGAGGTCAGGAGTTTGAGACCAGCCTGGCTAACATGGCAAAACTCCATCTCTACTAAAAATACAAAAAATTAGCTGGGCGTGGTGGCGGGCGCCTGTAATCCCAGCTACTTGGGAGGCTGAGGCAGGAGAATTGCATGAACCTGGGAGGTGGAGGTTGCAGTGAGCCAAGACTGTGCCATTGGACTCCAGCCTGGGGGACAGAGCAAGACTCTGTCTCAGAAAAAAAAAAAAAAAAAAAAGAATAGCTTGAAGACACCCACAAAAGTAGGACAGAAGGAAGGTAAAATGGAGATGGAGGAAACACATACAGATGATCCTTGACTACGATGGTTCAACTCACAATTTTTCAACTTTATGATAATGCAAAAGCTATATGCATTCAGCAGAAACCATGCTTTGAGTACACTTACTGTTCTTTTTTTGACTTTCAGTACAGAATTCAATAAATTACATGAGAAATTCAACACTTTATTACAAAATAAGCTTTGTGTTAGATGATTTCGCTCAACTGTGGGCTAACATAAGTGTTCTGTGTATGTTTAAGGTAGGTTCAGTTTTCTAAATGCATTTTTGATTTAGGATATTTTCAGCCTACAATGGGTTTATCAGGAAGTAACTCCATCATAAATCGAGGAACATTTATATTGCCCTTACAATTTTTTCTAGGGTTTACCTTGCTGACAGATATCTGAGGTATAGGGAAATGCCTGGATATAGGTGCTCAGGGGCGGCTGTTTCTAGTGAATTTTAGGGGAGTGTGTATGTGACAGAGACAAGAGGAAGAAGGGAAGGCATCGCAATGAATATAGCTAAGAAACATCCCATCACTCCCTTGATCTTTTATCCTTCCAACCTTCATGCACTCAACTTTTGTGCTTGTACCTGCAGCACACCATTGGTTTTATTTTTATAGTCAGACAAAGATGACAAACATAAGATATCTCTGGATAGAACTTTAAATACCTCTCAGGGCCATAATGAGACAAAACAACTTCATTTTTACCAAACACAAGACAAAGATGACTGGCTTACCAGACCAAACAATCTACCTGCTCACCTGTGTGGAACTGTTTTAACTCGATATTCCAGTGTGCTCCTGCTGAATTAGAAGAAAGAATGGAAAAGCTACTAGAAGATGAAAAAGTCATGTTAGTTTATGCTTTCCCCAACAAACAGCAGATGCTGCTAGTAAGCATCTTTTATGTGTGCAGCTCGGAGCCTGAGCTCTGTATTTGTTTGGGGGATAGGAATCAGACTGTCTGGGTTTAAATCTTGTTTCCACTACTCACTAGCTGTGTGACTTAAGGAAAGTTATCTGATCTTTTAAATCCCGTTTTACCATGTGTAAATAGCACCGTGAGATTATTGTGAGGATATACATGTGAAGTGTCTAGCACAGTGCCTTAATAAAGAGCATCTATTAGGCCTGCTCTATAATATAGGCAGTTAGGCTGCCTACTTTTTTTTTTTTTTTTTGAGGTGGAATCTCACTCCCATTGCTCAGGCTGGAGTGCAGTGGCATGAACTTGGCTCACTGCAACCTCTGCCTCCTGGGATCAAACGATTGTCCTGCCTCAGCCCCCTGAGTAACTGGGACTACATTTGTGCCACCACGCCAGGCTACTTTGTGTATTTTTTAGTAGAGACGGGGTTTCACCACATTGGCCAGGCTGGTCTCAAACTCCTGACCTCAAGTGATCTACCTGCCTCAGCCTCCTAAAGTGCTGGGATTACAGGCACGAGCCACCATGCCAGGCCAGGCTGCCTATCTTAAAATTCTGGTATTATTCTGTACTTGTTATGAAATTTAGGGCAAGATACTTCACCTCACTTTGCTTCAGCTTCTGCATTTTCTTTTCTTTTTTCTTTCTTTTTTTAAAAAAATATTTTGTAGAGATGGTGTTTCACCACATTGCCCAGGCTGGTCTCAAACTCCTGATCTCAAGCGATCTGCCCACTTCAGTCTCCCAGAGTGCTGGGATTCCATGTATGAGCCACTGCATCTGGTTTCAGAGTCCTCATTTTCAAAAGAGGCAAATTAATTACTATGCAGAATTGTTATGAAGATCCAATGAAATTATTTAGGAAAATAAGAAAGACTTGGCACGTGCAAGTGTGCAGTAAAAGACAAACTTTATTACTATTTTTTCCTCCTATTTTTTTTAACTGTGGTAAAAAAAATACTGTGGCATGTGATATACGTAACAGAAAATGTACCAACTTAACCATTTTTAAATGTATCTCTCAGTAGTATTAAATACATTTATAATGTTCAACCATCACTGCCATCCAACTCCAGAACTCTTTCCAACTTGTAAAACTGAAGCTCTGTTGGGGCGTGGTGGCTCAGGCCTGTAATCCCAACACTTTGGGAGGCCGTGGTAGGTGGATCACTTGAGGTCACGAGTTCGAGACCAGCCTGACCAATATGGTGAAACCCTGTCTTTAATAAAAATACAAAAATTAGCCAGGCATGGTGGTGCACGCCTGTAGTCCCGGCTACTCGGGAGGCTGAGACAGGAGAACTGTTCGAACTGGGGAGGCGGAGGTTGCAGTGAACCAAGATTGTGCCACTGCACTCCAGCCTGGGTGACAGAGTGAGACTCCATCTCAAAAAAAAAAAAAAAGACCAAAAAAAACGGAAACTCTATACACATTAAACAATAATACCTCATTCCCCACCCTCCTCCCAGTCCCTGGCAACCATCATTCTCCTTTCTGTCTCTCTGATTTGACCACTACTATAAGTATGTCATATGAGTGGAATCAGTGTTTTTTTGTGACTGGCTTATCTCACTTAGCATAATGTCTTCAAGTTTCATTCATGTTGTAGCACATGCCAGCATTTCCTTCATTTTTAAGGCTGAATAATATTCCATTGTATAAATATCCCCCATGCTTATCTATTCAACTGTTGATGTACATTTCGGTTGCTATTGTGAATAATACAGCTATGAACAGGGGCATATAAACATCTCTTTCAGACCCTACTTTCAATTATTTTTGGTGTCTACTCAGAAATGGAATTGTAATCATATAGCAATTTTATCTCTAACTTTTTGAGGGACCACCATACTGTTTTCCCTAGTGGATGTACCTTTTTACATGTATTCCCATCAACAATGTATAAGAGTTCCAATTACTCTACATTCTTCTCAACACTTGTAATTTTCTGGCTTTTTCTTTTTGGATAGTGGCCATCCTAATAGATGTAAGGTGGTAACTTGTCTTACTCTTTTGTTTTTGAGATGGGGTGTCATTCTTTCACACAGGCTGGAGTGCAGTGGTGCAATCTTGGCTCACTGCAACCTCCACCACTCAATCTCAAGCGATCCTCCCACTCCAGCCTCCCGAGTAGCTGGGACCACAGGCTCACACCACCATGCCTGGCTAATTTTTTGTATTTTTGGTAGAGATGGGGTTTCACCATATTGCCCAGGCTGGTCTTGAATTCCTGAGCTCAAGTGATCCACCTGCCTTGGCCTCCCAAAGGCCTGGGATTATAGGCGTGAGCCACTGTGCCTGGTTGGTTAACTTATCTTACTTTTGTCTACAACTACAATTCCTGCTACTACTATCGCTATTACTACAACCATGGCTGCTGCTTCTACTATATTTACTAAGCAATGTGAGAAAGTTGAAAAAAATTAAAAACATAAATTTTACTCTCAAGGAGACTTCTGTTTGTTATAGTTAAAACCAATTTTCCTCATCTTCCTATCCATATTCCTTTGTTTATCCCTGAAGTGCAATCACTTACCAACAGGAACTGGTAAATGCCATCAACATACTAGAGTAAGAGGAGGGAATGTACTTCAGACTCTTGCCTCTAGAAGCAGCCATAGAGTTCCTTAATTACAAGTCAGACAGGATCCTGGATTGCAAAAGTTCCCGTTTTCTACTTTATTTCAATTGTGAACTTGGACTTGGTAATATACTGAAAATAATGGAAGGGATGATGAAGAGCTGGCTATAAATGAGAAAGAACTGGTCATTGTGGGAGAGACTATGAGTTGTCTACCAGTATCTGTTCTGTCCTTTTTTCTTTAGCATCAAAACTCCTGAGTCATAGCTGGGCATGCTGCTTTCCAGCTGGAGTCTATATTTCCCACATTCACTTGCAGTAGCTGTGCCCTTATGACTAAGTTCCTGGCAGTAGAATAGCAGTAGAAGTGATGTGTGCCAGTTTTACATCATGCCCTTGAAATAAATGAGTAACACAAACTTATTTTCTTTCTTCTTATTGCCTGAGAGGTAGATATGATGGAGGGTTCTGGGGCAGCCATTTTAGAGCCAGCGATCGAAGGTGTGTAATGGGCATGGCAGAGATGCCCTCCCAGTCTCAGATCGTCTATCTATGGACTGTTACATGTGAGAGAGCAATAAACTTCTACTTTGTATTAGCCACTGAATTTTGAGATATCTTAGCTTAATCTATAACAAATACAGACAAATTAACTCAATAAAACCGGCATTCTACTCAACCACAATAATAAAGAAAGACAATTTCAAATAGTTTGAATGTAATGCAGACATTTTCAGAAAGGAAATACATTAGCCTTTGAAGTAGACCAATTAAAATTCAAGAAACCATATTAAGTTTTGAGTTTCCAAGTATTTTCCAAATCTTTTTCTCGTAGTTCTTTGTCCCATAATGAAGGTCTAGCTCTAGTGATCAGTGGTGATGCACAGTTATATTTGCAATGTTATCAATTACCAAAACTCTTTTGGGTTTTTGGTTAAATGCTATTTTGTATGATTAGAACTCTAACAAGTAGCAATGTGATCATCTACATAGCCTGTACTTAGGGTTTTAAAATACTCTGTCCATGGATAGAGTGGTGTAGACATCAAAGTATTATAGACCCTAAAATTTAGAGTAAAAACTACCTCTGTGGTCAGTGCAATCACATGCTGAGGACTCCTAAGTCTGATTTACTCGGGACATGTATTGCTTTCACATTTCAAAACAAGCTTTAAAAAAATTCAATCTAAGGTTGCAATTGGTTATTTACCAGTTTAGAATTATCCTATAATTTAGAGGTAGTTTTCTGCTCTGTGAGAGTTGGTCCACAGCATCTCTAGGAAGTCAGCATTTTAAAATATAATCAATGAAAATTAATACACTTGGGAATTAGCATGTTAATGGAACTTGAAAGAAGAAGGCTCATGTTGCAATGTTACCTTTAGAAGAAGGTAAGTAACCCTTTTATAGAAAGGGGATTAATAGTGGGTCTTTTTCTGTAGCATGGTCAATGGCCAAAGAATGATTTTGCTTCATAGACTGTGATTGTGATTCATTAGGGAATACCTAAAATGAAGGGAGCTTTCTATCCAGCCGGCTTAGCTTCATAAATATGCCTGTAAGAACATCCCACGTCCTGTACTTTCCTTCTGCAAATATTTGCTCTGAGGTTTGTGCTCTTGGGTGATCCACCAAGCCAGAGGAAATGAGTACCCTTCCCCTGGGCAAGCTTTGTCAGATATAGTTATACTTGATATGCTAGCTTGTAGATACATCTCTTGGGAGTTTGGCATGGCTCAATGCCTGTATATTCTTCTATCTCTAGGTCAATGAATAAAATAGCTCCTAGTCCCCAAAGCTGGGAGCAG